>NW_003571056.2:0-195632 GCF_000001405.40 Homo sapiens | reverse complement strand
GAATTCCCCATGAGTCCTGTGACCTCAGCCCACGCGGGGACCTACAGGTGCTACGGCTCATACAGCTCCAACCCCCACCTGCTGTCTCACCCCAGTGAGCCCCTGGAGCTCGTGGTCTCAGGTGAGGGCGCTGACCCCGTCCTCTCTGAGCTCAAAGGCTCAGCTCAGGCCCAGGCCCCCAGGAGAGCTCTCGGCTGGGATGGACCGAGGGAGGCTGTGAGGGAGGCTTAGCCAGAGGGCACCCAGCCCTCAGAGGGGAGGAGGCCAACAGGGGTTCTCCTAGGCGTGGCCACCCGTTCTCCCCTGCCTGGCATGCAGAAGGCACCAGGTGGGCAGAGAGATGGTTCCAGGGAATCCACTGGGCGGAAGCAGGAGAGTGGGAGTGGAAGGGTGCACTCCATGGACGGCCCCCGCCCCTCACCCGCCTCCCGTGCTCCTTCCAGGACACTCTGGAGGCTCCAGCCTCCCACCCACAGGGCCGCCCTCCACACCTGGTGAGTCACTGAGGCCTCGTGGGGAGCGCCGCCTCCCCCAGGGCAGTCTGAGTCTCCCAAAGGATCCCACTCCCCTCCCCTCAAGGACGGGCTTGTGTCCCAGGGGCTCTGAGGCTGGGCTGGTGAAGAGTGGGGGGTCGAGGCAGAGGGAGATGTTGGGGCCCAGCCAGGAGGAGGAGCCGGGCTGATGTGGGGGGCAAGACAGCCCCAGCCTTCACCTCCCTGTCCTGACCCAGGAGGTCCTGAGGACCAGCCCCTTAACCCCCCAGGGTCAGGCCCTCAGAATCGTGAGTGAGGGGCTCTGAGTGGGAGATGGGCGGGGTCCAGGGGAGGCAGGGGTGGGTTCTGTCCTAGGTTCAGGCTCCTCTGGAGGTGGTGATGTGGACAGGCCCCTCCCCTGCCTGGGCCTCAGTTTCTCCAAGTGTAAAGGAGAGAGGCCTGTGGGTGGGAAAGTTCCTTTCAGCTCTGACCCCCAGCTGTGACCTCCTGGGAGAGGAGGCCTCCCAGGGAACCTCCCAGACCCGATTCCACAGGGGCCTGTCCCGTCCCACCTGCAGCAGTGACGGTGACCTGGGGCAGGGGAGGGGAGCAGGGCCGTGGTTCAGGACGGTCAGGCTCTTTCCCTGCAGCTCCGGGTCTCGGCTCTGGTGCAGGAACAAGGGCTGCAGGTCAGACTCCCGGGCTCCCTTCCCAGCTCTGCCGCTTCCTCGCTGGAGGCCTGGGGCAGGCGACTCCCTGCTCTGAGCCTCAGTTTGTGCATCTGTGAAATGGGTTGTACGGGTGGCAATTCCATGTTGCACGACTGCTTGTGAGGGTTGGAGGTCACGAAGGAAAGACCTGGCTCGCGCCTGCACACAGTAGGTGCTCACATCAATGACATCATTCCCACTCCTGACGTCCTCATGTCAAGGTCTGGGAAGATACCTGGAGGTTTTGATTGGGGTCTCGGTGGCCTTCGTCCTGCTGCTCTTCCTCCTCCTCTTCCTCCTCCTCCGACGTCAGCGTCACAGCAAACACAGGACATCTGGTGAGTAGGGAAGCGGGGGACCCATGGGTCGACCGAGGGTGGGCTCAGGGCACCAGCCAGAGGGAACCCAAACACACAGGGGTGTCAGTTTAGAAAACCGGTTCCAGGGGCACGTAATTTCAATACGCATTTACAAACTTCAGTATTCATGGGAGTTTTTTTCTATCTCATAAAATATTTGGAACATCCATGCAGGAATATTTTTAGTTTTCCTTCTTTCCCTCAAGTTGCATGTGTAGAATGGGAGTTCTAATGTTCCCAGGGCTGAGACTCTGTCCATCTTCACCCAGACCAGAGAAAGACTGATTTCCAGCGTCCTGCAGGGGCTGCGGAGACAGAGCCCAAGGACAGGGGCCTGCTGAGGAGGTAATTCTGCCCCAAAGACCACAGACTCCCACCCACCACAGCCCATACACTGCCCCTCACACTCCCATGTCCTCCTCCAGGTCCAGCCCAGCTGCTGACGTCCAGGAAGAAAACCTCTGTAAGAGGAAGAGAGGGGACAAATGGGGGTGCTGGAGAGACAGGAGTCCCAAAATTTCAGTAGCAACAGGGAGGGGCTGGGAAGGGTCTGGGGCTCCGTGGAAGATGGTCTTGCCCCACACTGTGGGACCTCCCTGCATTCGGTGGCCCCATCTGGGAGCAGGGCAGGGGGCCAGCAGGACTGAGAGGTCTCAGAGAACCAGGAGACGAACCCCTTGCTCTGCCCCAGCAGATGCTGCCGTGAAGGACACACAGTCTGAGGACAGGGTGGAGCTGGACAGTCAGGTGAGATCCCGCCCCGTCCCAGGCACCAAAGGCCTCCTGGTGCCAGATCTAATCCTGCAGGACTTCTCTGTCCTCCTTCCCCCGGCTCTCAGCATCGTCACGGTGGACCCCTCCTTGTCCAGCATGCTGCCTCCCGCCTGCTGTGACCTCACTCTCTTCTGCTGTCCTGGGACCTCGTGGGCCTCCTCCCGGGTCCCCTTCCTGCTCCTCATCCTCTGTTTGGCCGTCTGGTTGTTAGAGCTCTCCCCAGGCCTCAGGAGGATGACGAATAAATGAACCACCTCCGTCCCCTGGGCTCCTCTTCATTCATTCATCCAGCGAGTGTTCCCAGGGAGCTCACTGTGGATGGGGCTCCCCATGGGAGCTGCAGACACAGCAGGGAGCAAAGCCGCCCCCGCCTCCTGAGCTCACCTCATGGTGGGAGACAAAATGCAAATAAATGCATCGTGTCCAGGAGTGCAACGTGCTGTAAGGAACATACACCAGGGAAAGGGCAGAGAGTGTGGGGCAGTGGGGCCAGTCTGAATGGAAGGGGAGGGCTGTCTGCTCAGCTGTCATCTGAGAAGCCTGGACAGAGTGGGGCACATGATCCTCTGATAGACGAGCCCCTGCAGGCAGAGGAAACAGCCGTGCAAAGGCCCCCAGGCAGCAGCGAGCTCTTGCAGGAAGGCCTGTGAGGCTGCAGCCAAATGGGCAAGGTCAGAGTGAGGAGCAGAGGCCAGAACCACAGGGAGGGAGCGGCCAGACCCTCCACGGCCTTAGGGCGTCCCTGAGATTCCATCAGGAAAGGGATGTAATCGGATCACCCCGGGAACAGTGAGGAAAATTGACTCCAGGAGGTCAGGGGGACTCAAGGACACCCCCCACCACTGTCTCTCTCCAGCAGAGCCCACACGATGAAGACCCCCAGGCAGTGACGTATGCCCCGGTGAAACACTCCAGTCCTAGGAGAGAAATGGCCTCTCCTCCCTCCTCACTGTCTGGGGAATTCCTGGACACAAAGGACAGACAGGTGGAAGAGGACAGGCAGATGGACACTGAGGTGAGTCCTTTCCTCTCCAGGCCCCCAGGCCTCCCCCACCCCCACCACGTTCCTTACCTCTCACTCTCCCCCGCTGCAGGCTGCTGCATCTGAAGCCTCCCAGGATGTGACCTACGCCCAGCTGCACAGCTTGACCCTTAGACGGAAGGCAACTGAGCCTCCTCCATCCCAGGAAGGGGAACCTCCAGCTGAGCCCAGCATCTACGCCACTCTGGCCATCCACTAGCCCGGGGGGTACGCAGACCCCACACTCAGCAGAAGGAGACTCAGGACTGCTGAAGGCACGGGAGCTGCCCCCAGTGGACACCAGTGAACCCCAGTCAGCCTGGACCCCTAACACAGACCATGAGGAGACGCTGGGAACTTGTGGGACTCACCTGACTCAAAGATGACTAATATCGTCCCATTTTGGAAATAAAGCAACAGACTTCTCAACAATCAATGAGTTAATAACAAAAAAACAAAAAACAAAAACAGACGTAAAGGCCGGGTGTGGTACTCAGGAGGCTGAGTGGGGAGGATTCCTTGAACACAAGAAGTTAAGGCTGCTGAGGCTGCAGTGAGCTATGACTGTGCCACTGCACTCCAGCCTGTGTGACAGAGCGAGACCTTGTCTCTAAAAAAAAAAACAGTGAATGTTTTAAACTGAATGATAATGTAAATATTATACATCGAACTTATGACATGGGAAAATTAAGAAGCATAAATAGGCCGGGCGCGGTGGCTCACGCCTATAATCTCAGCACTTTGGGAGGCTGATGCGGGCGGATCATGAGGTCAGGAGATCGAGACCATCCTGGCTAACACGGTGAAACCCCGTCTCTACTAAAAATACAAAAAAATTAGCCGGGCGTGGTGGCGAGTGCCTATAGTCCCAGCTACTCAGGAGGCTGAGGCAGGAGAATGGCATGAGCCCGGGAGGCAGAGCTTGCAGTGAGCTGAGATCGCACCACTGCACTCCAGCCTGGGCGACAGAGTGAGATTCCGTCTCGAAAAAAAAAAAAAAAGAAAGAAAAAAAATAAAAAAGAAGCATAACCAGGTGCAGTGGCTCACACCTGTAATCCCAATACTTTGGGAGGGCAAGTGGGGAGGATAGCTTGAGCTCAGGAGTTCGAGTCAGTCAGATCAGCATTGTGAGGCCCCATCTCTACAAAAAATAAAACCAGTCCGGCGTGGTGGCACACACCTGTAGTCCCAGCTACTTGAGAGGCTGAGGTGGGAGGATCACTTGGGTACAGGAGGTCGAGGCTGCAATGAGCCGAGATCGCACCACAGCACTTCAGCCTGGACGAGACCCTGTCTCAAAAAAACAAAACAACTAACAAGCCAGTGAAATTATCTGTTGATTAGTGTTTGCATAATACATTTTTCATCCTTCTGCTTTTTTAATGTGATAAAATATAAACAACAGGCCAGGCGCGGGGGTTCATGCCTGTAATCCCAGCACTTTGGGAGGCCAAGGCGGGTGGATCACAAGGTCAGGAGTTCAAGACTAGCCTGGCCAAGATGGTGAAACCCCATCTCTACTAAAAATACAAAAACTGGCCAGGTGTGGTGGCAGGCACCTGTAATCCCAGCTACTAGGGAGGCTGAGGCAGAGAACTGCTTGAACCCAGGAGGCAGTGGTTGCAGTGAACCGAGATCACACCACTGCACTACAGCCTGGGCAACAGAGCAAGACTCTGTCTCAAAAAAAAAAAATTCCAATCTTGTAATCTCTTTTTGATCACTTATATTTAATGTAATCACTGATGACATTACAACCGTATGTCACTTAATGACAGGGATATGTTCTGAGAAAGCCATCATTAAAAAATTTTGGCCAGGCGTGGTGGCTCATGCCTGTAATCCCAGAACTTTGGGAGGCCAAGATGGGTGGATCACCAGAGGTCGGGAATTCGAGACCAGCCTGCTCAACATGGTGAAACCCTGTCTCTACTAAAAATACAAAAATTAGCCGGGCATCGTGGTGCATGCCTGTAATCCCAGCTACTTGGGAAGCTGAGGCAGGAGAATCGCTTGAACCTGGGAGGCGGAGGTTGCAGTGAGCCAAAATCGTGCCATTTCACTCCAGCCTGGGAGACAGAATGAGACTCCATCTCAAAAAAAAGAAAAAAAAAAATTCACCGTCGTGTGAACATCATAGAGTCTACTTACACAAACCTACGTGGTATAACCTACTACATACATAGGCTATACCATCACATATGAAATGTGTAGTGGAGCGAAACATCGTTATGCGGTGCATGACTGTGTTCAGGTGTGCCTTTTTGTTTGTCTCCTCTGCTGTGTGTTGTTTCCCCTTTCCTGCCTACTCTAGGTTTTTAGAAATATTTTGATTTGTTAAAAACTTATGATTCCCCCCTCGCCCGGCCAGCCGCCCCGTCCGGGAGGGAGGTGGGGGGGTCAGCCCCCCGCCAGGCCAGCCGCCCCATCCGGGAGGTGAGGGGCGCCTCTGCCCGGCCGCCCCTACTGGGAAGTGAGGAGCCCCTCTGCCCGGCCGCCACCCCGTCTGGGAGGTGTACCCAACAGCTCATTGAGAACGGGCCATGATGACAATGGCGGTTTTGTGGAATAGAAAGCGGGGAAAGGTGGGGAAAAGATTGAGAAATCGGATGGTTGCGGTGTCTGTGTAGAAAGAGGTAGACATGGGAGACTTTTCATTTTGTTCTGTACTAAGAAAAATTCTTCTGCCTTGGGATCCTGTTGATCTGTGACCTTACCCCCAACCCTGTGCTCTCTGAAACATGTGCTGTGTCCACTCAGGGTTAAATGGATTAAGGGCGGTGCAAGATGTGCTTTGTTGAACAGATGCTTGAAGGCAGCATGCTCGTTAAGAGTCATCACCACTCCCTAATCTCAAGTACCCAGTGACACAAACACTGCGGAAGGCTGCAGGGTCCTCTGCCTAGGAAAACCAGAGACCTTTGTTCACTTGTTTATCTGCTGACCTTCCCTCCACCGTTGTCCTATGACCCTGCCAAATCCCCCTCTGCGAGAAACACCCAAGAATGATCAATAAAAAAAAAAAAAAAAAACTTATGATTCCTTAACTTTTCTATTTAATATTTTTGGACCATGGTTGACCACCAGGTAACTGAAAACACAGAAAGAAAATTACAGATAAAGGGGGACTACTGTATTAGAGTTTTTTAAAAATATATTTTAAATTTTTTTGTAGCAATGGGATCTCACGATGTTGCCCAAACTGGCCTCAAACTTGTGGGCTCAAGAGCCTCCCATCTCCGCCTCCCAAAGTGTTGGGATTACAGGCATGAGCCACTGTGCCCAGCTTAAGAGTTTTTAATTGAAAAATAATAATTGTACATATTTATGGAATACAGAATATTTGATTTTATCTACGTGTGTGTGTGTGGTTTTTTTTTTTTTCGAGATGGAGTTTCACTCTTTTTGCCCAGGCAGGAGTGCAATGGTGCAGTCTCGGCTCACTGCAACCTCCGCTTCCCAGGTTCAAGTGGTTCTCCTGCCTCAGCCTCCCAAGTAGCTGGGACTACATGTGTGCACCACTATGCCCAACATATATATATTTACATATATATATATTTTTTTTTGAGACGGAGTCTCGCTCCATTCTACCTCAGCCTCCCGAGTAGCTGGGATTACAGACACATGCCACCACGCCTGGCTAAGTTTTATATTTTTAGTAGAGACAGGGTTTTGCCAGGCTGGTCTTGAACTCCTGACCTCTTGATCTGCCTGCCTCCCAAAGTGCTGGGATTATAGGCGTGAGCCACCGCACCCGGCCCAACAAATATATTTTTATTGAGATACAACTCTATTTTGTGGCATTTAGTAAATTCACAATATGGTGTAAGCATCACCTCTATCTCATTCCGAAACATTTTTATCATACCGAGAAGGAAACCGAGTTTACATCAAGCAATCACTCCCACCTAATCCCATGCAACAATTAACCTACTTTCTGCCTCTATCGATTGGCCTTCTTTGAATACCTTTTTTTTTTTTTTTTGAGACAGGGACTCACTCTGTCACCCAGGTTGGAGTGCAGTGGTGTGATCTCGGCTCACTGTAACCTCTGCCTCCCAGGCTCAAGCGATCCTGCCACCTGAGCCTCCCAAGTAGCTGGGATCACAGGCACATGCCACCATGCCGGGTGAATTTTTTGTATTTTTGGTAGAGATGGTATTTCACCATGTTGCCCAGGCTGGTCTCAAACTCCTAAACTCAGGCAATCCACCTGCCTTGGCCTCCCAAAGTGCTGGATTACAGGCAATGAGCCACCACACCCAGGCTGGATACTTCTTATAAATGAAATAACGTCATATGTGACCTTTTTTTCCTGACTGCTTTTATCTAGTATATTATCAAGGTTCACACATGTAGCATGTATGAGTACTTCATTCCTTTCTACGGTTGAATAATATTTTGTTGTAAGGATATACCACACTTTCTCTATTCACCAGCTGATAGACATCGCTACAAAAATAAGTAGTGGCTGTGGAGGTGCACGTCTGTAGTCCCAGCCACTCGGGAGCCTGAGGCGGGAGGATCACCTGAGCCACGATGTCAAGGCTGCAGTGAGCTATGATAGTGCCACTGCACTCCAGCCTGGGCAACAGGCCTCATCTTTTAAGCAAAGAAAAAAGAGGCCGAGCATGGTGGCTCATGCCCGTAATCCCAACACTTTGGGAGGCTGAAGCGGGCGGATCACCTGAGGTCAGGAGTTCAAGACCAGCCTGGCCAACATGGTAAAACTCTGTCTTTACTAAAAAATACAAAATTTAGCTGGATATGGTGGCGCGCATCTGTAATCCCAGCTAACTGGGAGATTGAGGCAGGAGAATCGCTGGCACCTGGGAGGTGGAGGCTGCAGTGAGCTGAGATCACGCCACTGCACTCCAGCCTGGGTGACAGAGCAAGACTCTGTCTCAAAAACAAAAAAAAAAAAAAAGAAAAAGAAAAAAGAGGCCGAGCATGATGGCTCATGCCTGTAATCCTAACACTTTGGGGGGCCAAGGCAAGAGGATGATTTAAGGTCAGGAGTTCGAGAATAGCCTGGCCAACATGGTGAAACTCTGTCTCTACTAAAAATACAAAAATTAGCCAGGCGTGGTTGCACGTGCCTGTAATCCAGCTACTTGGGAGGCTGAAGCAGGACAATCACCTGAACCCAGGAGGTGGAGGTTGTAGTGAGCTGGGGTCACGCCACTGCACTCCAGCCTGGGAAACAGAGCAAGACCATGTCTAAAAAAAAAAAAAAAGGGGGAAAGAAAAGAAAGAAAAAAAGAGTGCTACTCATTAACAGGAAAGTTGGCTGGGCGCGATGGCTCACGCCTGTAATCCCAGCACTTTGGGAGGCCGAGGCGGGTGGATCACGAGGTCAGGAGATCGAGACCATCCTGGCTAGCACGGTGAAACCCCGTCTCTACTAAAAATACAAAAGATTAGCCGGGCGTGGTGGCGGGCGCCTGTAGTCCCAGCTACTCGGGAGGCTGAGGCAGGAGAATGGCGTGAACCCGGGAGGCGGAGCTTGCAGTGAGCCGAGATCGCGCCACTGCACTCCAGCCTGGGCGACAGAGCGAGACTCCGTCTCAAAAAAGAAAGTCAGTGAAGGGACCTGTTTGGGAAAACAAAGCCCAGGCTCGAAGGAAGCTTGTGCTTCCCTCTGTGAGCAAGTTAAGTCTTAGAAACATCTCCCCGAGCCTCCTTCTCCCACGCGGGTCGTCTGTCCTGCGGCAGCCCCACTGGTTCCTCCCATCAACCAAGGCAGAGAGTGGAAAAGCTCCTCACACTCTTCTGCTTCACACACAGTGAACAAATCCAAACCTCTCTGCCCACATCCCTCCTCACCCGGCTCCACCCGTGTCCGCTGGTCCATCCCCACAGTCTAAGCTCAGCTGGGGACCGAGGACGCCCTGTCTGTGCACTGCACCAACCTCCCTCCTGGCCCCCTACTGGCTCCCATCCCTACTCCAGTCCATCCCTCTCATCACTTCCGAGGCCTCTTCTGACCATCTTACCTGGCTGTGACCCTCCACTGCTCAAATTCCCCCAACGGGGCTCCATCTTCCAAAAATAAGATGCACGTTCCTGTACTTCATGTTCAAGCCTGTTGATGACCAAACCTGATACACTTTCCAGCTTCACAGGCTATGGCTCCCCCTCTGCCACACCAAACTCATCACAGTTACCCACCCCCTGCCACACACACACAACCTCAGTTATTAAACACGTGTAAGTCTTCTGACGGCCGCTCCCTGAGCCAATCCGGATGTAGCTGACACCTCTGCAGAGCTGGTAGACTATGACAAAGAGAAGCCCTCCTGCCTCGTTCCACTCCACTGTAAACGTATGTGTGTCATAGGTCATGAGGAGTCCACATAAACCACTTAGAATCCTTATCAGCACATTGCCTAGTGGCTGGGCTCACGCTGGAGTGTGGTTATGGTTAACCATTAGTGAAACCCTCCCATATTGCATTCTGTGCAGTGATGGGCTTGTAAAAACAGACATCTGTTTCCACTGTGCTTTCTAAAGATTCCCCGGTTTTTTTTTTTTTTTTTTTGAGATGGAGTCTCACTCTGTCACCTAGGCTGGAGTGCTGTGGCGCAATCTCGGCTCACTGCAACCTCCACCTCCCGGGTTCAAGTGATTCTCCTGCCTCAGCCTCCCGAGTAGCTGGGATTACAGGCGTCCACCACCACACCTGGCTGATTTTTTGTGTCTTTAGTAGAGACGGGGTTTCACCATGTTGGCCAGGCTGGTCTCGAACTCCTGACCTCATAATCCACCCACCTCCGCCTCCCAAAGTGCTGGGATTACAGGTGCAAACCACCGTGCCGGGCCGGATTTTCCATTTTCTTAAACATAGCATCCAATAAATCTTCACGGTGCACAAGTCCCCTGAATGACAAGGTCCCAGCTTCCTTTGGCTCACTCTCAGGTCTGAGAACAGCCCACACTGTTTCTGGTGGAGGACACTCTGCGTGCCACACTCACTGTTCACGTCTTGGTCTCTCCATCCCCCAGAAGGACCCCTCACTCCCATGACAGGTGTACGCTGCTCACCTGCTATGAGCATGTTTTCCTCCTTTCCTACAACTTGTCGAAACCGGAGCAGAATTACCTCCTATCTAAACATGGGTAATGTGTCATTAACCCAGGCTCTGTGAGTCCAGCAGGAATCCTATCAGCTTCACCCACGACTCCCCTCCTCCTGGCAGCATGCCTGGATGTGGTAACCACTGAATAAACATCGCCTGATCGCAAGGCTCATGAAAGAAAAGATGCATTACAGAGCTCAGGACATGGAAGGGGCTTGCCTCTAGAATTAGAACAGTGACTGGGCTGTGTCCTAAGGCCCTGCCCTCTCTGGCCTCAGCCTCATGTGCTAGAACAAGGGTCACCCCTGGATGAGAGTTGGGTGAGGTGGAAGCAGGCAGAGTATGGGGAAGTCAAATTTTGACTCAAATGTGGTCTGAAAGGCCCCCAGAGCCTGCTGTCCCCTCAGCCCCATCCTTCAGGGGGAGCAGAGCGAGGCCCTGGGGAAGGGGCTGTTCCCCTCCTGCAAGGCCACTGGTGAGAACACATGACCTGTAACACAGAGCCCGGGGCTCCTTATACCAGCACACCCATCTGCCCTCCAGGCTCTGTGGCTCAATGGTCTAATTCATCTGCACTGCTGGGGACCGTGACAGGCAGGGCCACAACCCCCACCCTCATTGCCCATCTCCCTGCTGTGTGTCCAGGGAAGCCTTAGGTGGACACGGGGTGGTCAGTGACCCCGACCTCTTGGGCCAGAAGCACAAGGCAGAAGGCATGGAGTTGAGACCGGTGAGAGCTCTCCCTGCAGGCCCCAGCGGGCCCCAGAGAGTACGCATCCCCTAAATACCAGTCGCCTCATCTCAGGGGCGTCCAGGCAGCCCTCAGCCCTCCCTCTCAGCACAGCCGGGATCGCCGGTGCTCTCTGGAGACAGCCTGACCCCTCAGCATCACTCAGAGGCCGGTTTTGACAGCTCTGCATTGACCAGGACAAGGGGCTCCCAGCCCGCCAGCGCCTAGATGGGCAGCACCTCCTGGACGTCCCCCTGGGCCATGCGAGCCACCCCCCTGGGGGCCAGCACAGATGCTGCGGTGGACACAATGCCTCCTGCCCAAGGTCGGTCCCCCGTCGCCCCCACCCAACATCCTGGTTGCAAGTGAGGGGCCCCTACCCAGACCCCATCCCGTTCTCTGCTCTGGACCCTGGGCTCAGGGTCGAGAGAGAGAATGATACAGGGATGTGGTCCAAGGAGATCACCAAGAAAGGGAGAGCAAGAGGCCCGGAGATTAAACAGACCCACGCAGGCCAGGCACTGTGGCTCACACCTGTCATCCTAGCGCTTTGGGAGGCGAGTGGATTGCTTGAGGCCAAGGGTTTTAGATCAGCCGGGGCAACACATTGAGACTCCATCTCTACAAATTCTTGAGATGGAGTCTCCCTCTGTTGCCCCGCTCGCTGCCTCTGTAGACAGAGCCCTGAAGACCCTTTTCCTTTCCAAGCCCGTAGGCTTCTCCCCAGAACCGCATACCTCAACTCCCACTCTCCCCTCCCTCCAGGCTGCCGTGGAGCTCCGCAATTGTGAGCTACACCCAGGTGAGCCACCACCTCTCAGACCAGAGACAACTGCAGTCTCTTCCTCCCAGGGGAGCTCCCAGGAGCCCAGTGAGTACGCTGCCCCGGCCATCCACTAGCCCAGACCCCACGCTCCAAGGAAGGAGACCACAGTGAGCCCAGATGGTGCAGCAGCTGGCCCCATGGACACAAGACCACCGTCATTTCCCAAGTAGCAACGCTGAGGGAAGGAAGGGCCAACCACCTAGCTTGAGTAAGCCGCAATGGACTTCTCCACGTGGTTTACAGTAACTTAGCTGTGTTCCAGAACTGTCCCTGCCCTGACCTCAAACCCTGAAGGCCTCCAGATAAGGACCCAATCAACTACAGCCTGCAGCCTGAGGGGGTTGCACAATTTCAGGTTTCTCACTTCCTCAGAAACCAAACCCCTTCCCAACACAGATGATCAACAAGGCTGAGAAAAGGGAAGCCTGCCAACCTCTTGACCGTGAGTCCACAGAAGCACTGAACGCGGAGAGGAGGAACAGACTTCCCTCAACGCCCCTTCTCCTACGCTAACCCACTTCCCCTACATGTGAAGACAAAACTGGGAACTTGCCCAACATCAACCGCATCACAAGCTTTGAAACTAGCAAGCAAATTCTGTGAAGTGTTCCCCAACAATCACCAACAGTTCACCTTCCCCAGCAACCCGTCAGCCTCTGGTCAGCTCCCGTCCCACCTGTCTCTTGCCTGGCGGGGTCAGGGTCCCAGGGCCAGCAGGCAGGGAAGGCCCCCACCTCCACTCGGCGCCTGCCCTGCCTAGCAATGACCGGCTCCCTCCCACCCCTATATGCAAACACCGGCTTACTTGGAATTTCCTTCTGGTTTTGACACAGTTTTTCCAAAAATACCACTCGTCTCTCCCCTGATGACAGAAGTTTCTGGTAAAGATGTGTGTTCACTACTGTAGAATAGTACTGAGAGGCCAGGGACCACTAGCTGGTAGGCACTCCCAAGTGAGTGAGCCTCCCAGGGAAGGCTGCATGTTTAGAGCAGGGGAAAGAGTCAAGGATGAGAGACCCCCACACACCAATTGTAAAGCGCTGATCCTGTTTATTTGGCAGGAAAACGAGACAATCCAGCAGCCCAGGAGGGACAGGTGGACTTAATCCTCCTCCTCGTCGTCTCCAGCCCCAGCCCCACCCTGGCCCTTCTTGGCATTCTTCCTCTTCACGCGGCCCGGGCGGCCACCCCCGTAGGGAGAGCGCAGAGAGAAGTCGATGTGCTTCTGGGAATCCAGGCGGACAATGAAGGACGGGATGTTCACCACCTGCTTGCGGACCCTGGAAGAAGCGACAAGGTGAGGTGGACTGGAGGAGAAACGGACGCTAACCCCAGCTACCGCACCACTCTTTCCTCTCCACCCACCCCGTGAGGCCGCCACGGCTGCAGACACCAAGGCGCTGCAGGAAGGGTGCACCTGATCCTACGTGCGCCCTCCGGGGTTTTAGGGTATCACCTTAATCCCCAAAAATGCTTCAGATGACTTTCTCAACCCCATTTTATAGGAGAAATCTGAAAGTATCCCACCTAAGACCACAAAGCAAATGAGATGGCCATGTGAGAGCCCCCAAGTTCCGAGTCTGAAATATCGTGAACCCCACACCTGACACTGAGCTGTATTACCACGTGCAGCAGCAATGCCCACAATAACACAGCAACCCGAGGCTACGTCTCCGACGAAAGCATTGACACACAAGGCTCTGCCTACGGCTCACAGGGTTAGTGAAGGGCTGGGGCGAAGATTCTAAACGCAAACATCTTGCCCTCTTTCTGTACAGCTCCTCCCCCTCAATGGTGCCACATTACAGAAAGGGCACACTGAGTACCCAGAACGCAGTCATGGATCGGGGTCTGGAATCAACTTCACAAGCGAGCCAGGAGACAGCTGAACCCACCACCCAAGCGAGGTGAGGCTGGTTCTCTCCCTCCACTGGGGACACCAAGAGCTGTTACCTGTCCAGCTGCCCACATGCCTGGCAGAGGCCTTCACAAGGTGTACGGCTAGAGCCGCAGTGACCCTTGCGCTGGGCTATTGGGGCAAGAGGCTGCCCCAGCTCCCTGGTGAGCTGTGTGCAAGGGTGAATCTGTACCCTCTGGGTGAGTTCACACCCATCACCTCCGAGGGCTGCATAGGAGATAGGGACAGCAGGCTTAGTGAGGGCAACCATCAGAGGGGCAGGTGGAGGAAGATTCAGGTGCCCATCCGAGGTGGTACCTGATATGGCGCTGGCGGATCAGCACGCGAGCGTGGTGGATGGACTTGGCCAAGCCCAGCTTGAAGACCTGGGTCTGCAGGCGTCTCTCTAAGAAATCCTCTATCTTCAGGCCCAGGATGTAATCCAGCTTCATCTTGCCCTCATCCAGCACCCCAATGCGGACCAGCCGCCGCAGCAGGGCGTTGCCTGGGAAGAGTGGGAGGAAACACTGATTCCGCCTTCTGACCTCAGGCTTCTTGGGTTCAAATCCTGGCTCCGCCTCTTGGTAGCTCCATGCCGCGGCGGTGAGGCACAAGTAGTACAGCGCCATCACCGTGACCCATGTCACTGTCAAAACCACCCTACGGGCTGGGAGTGGTGGCTCACACCTGTAATCCCAGCACTTCGGGAGTCCGAGACGGATCACTTGAGGTCAGGAGTTTGAGAGACCAGCCCGGCCAACATGGCGAAAGCCCGTCTCCACTAAGATTACGAAAAATTAGCCAGGCCGTTGGCGCACTGCCTGTAATCCCAGCTATTCAGGAGGCTGAGGAAGGAAAACTGCTTGAACCCAGGAGGCGGAGGTTGCAGTGACCTGAGATGGGGCCACTGCACTCCAGCCTGGGCGACAGAGTGAGGCCCTGTCACAAAACAAAACAATACAAAAAACCAAACTACCCTATGGTTGTCAGGTCATCATTCATAGTAAACTGCAGATGACAGGAGGGCAAAATACACCTGCCTCCTCATCTGAGAGCATACATCCCTCGCTCCACATTCTTAGCAAGAGTAAAGGAAATCACCTCCTTACAAGGACTCAGTCTGCAAAAGACCAAATGCAGCTGCTATTAAGCTACTACCACCGTAACAAAGCACAGTGCTGAAGAGTTCATATCCTCAGCCCAGAAAGCTCTTCTGATTAAGCAGATGTGAGATTGAATCACATTCCGTGCCATAAATAGCAGTATCTACATCTTTTAAGGAGAGAAAAGTAATTTCTAACACTAGAATTTTTCCAGCTAAGTACATGTCATTCATTTTACTATTCTGTACAAAATTTTCCACCAAAAATAGATCTAGTATGTATATAACCTAACAATGCACTGCATAAAATATCCAACAGATGCCCTACTACACCTTTCTTCCAACCCCAGGCTCAGGACGGCTTGCTCCTTACCCTGTCCAAAGCCATGGCTTCTAGCTAATACTCTGGACTGCCCTTGCCCACAGCCCCAGGGCCCTGGGGGCAAACGCCATCCCCTAGGCTCCCGCTCACTGCTATAATCCCACACGCCTTCAGCAAATCAACTGCCCCTTGACTGGGGTAAACACCTCAACCTTTTTTCCTTATGTGCACTTTTATAAAAAGTGGCTCTTACTAGTTACAGCAAACCATTCAAGCAAGCTTTCATAAATAGATCTACATGCATCAGGCACTTCTGATATTCCTGGCACTGTTACCCTCCAAGCAAAGTTTGAAAGAAAGCTAGCTCACTTTGTGAGGACCCAAAGTTTTCCCAGTAGGGAGCAGTTACAGGTAGGGAGAATCAAAATGGAAACACCAGCTGTGTGCATTTCCAGCATCCTATGTCATACTATGGCTTCAATTTTTGTTCTTTTTTAACTCAACATCAGAGGATATTTAAACACCTGAATATCAAAATACAAAAACATGTCCAAAAGGCAATGAAAATGAGTTTGGGATCATTTACCTCTTTGGACACTTCACGCCTTTTTGTCTTTACATTAGAAAATGGAAACTTAAGCCACGCACAGTCCCTTATGCCTGGCCTATAAACCCAATATTTTGGGAGGCTGAGGCAGGAGGATCAGTTGAGTCCAGAAGTTTGAAACTAGCCTCGGCAACACAGTGAGACCGCATTTGTACCAAAACAAACAAAAAAGTAAAACTAAATTAGCTGGGCATGGTGGTACATGGTGGATTGTGGTCCCAGCTACTAGAGCTGAGGAGGATCACTTAAGCACAGGAGGTCCAGGCTGCAGTGAGCCACGACCATGCCACTGTGCTCCAGCCCGGGAGACAAAGTGAGATCGTCACCATTAGGCAAAACAAAGGCATGATTTTAAAAAAATGTTTCACATTTATTATCATTTTTGAGACAGAGTTTCGCTCTCGTTGCCCAGGCTGGAGTGCAATGGCGTGATCTCGGCTCACTGCAAACTCCGCCTCCTGGGATTCTCCTGCCTCAGCCTGGGATTACAGGCATGCGCCACCACGCCCCGCTAATTTTGTATTTTTTCAGTAGAGACTAAGGGGTTTCTCCACTTTGGTCAGGCTAGTCTCAAACTCCCGACCTCGGGTGATCCGCCTGCCTCTGCCTCCCAAAGTGCTGGGATTACAGGCATGAGCCACTGCACTCAGGCCCACATTTATTGAACCATCTATCTCCTGAAAAAGAACAGGAGAGTCAGCCACAGGCAAAACCTTTAAGTATGAAGACAATAGTTTTCAACAGCACAATAAACCTTACACCTTCAACAAAAGCATGTCCTACTGCTGAGGCTCCACTGGGCCAATGCACCAAGAGAATTTAAAATGCTTTAAAAATGCAAACCAGGGAGGACCTCAGTGGGAAACAGGTCCTTGTCATCATACAAGGCAGTTAGGTATTACAATGCCTTCATTTCTGATCTGAAAAATGGACATGACTCCTACATTTCTTCACAGTTGTGCTGGGGGGTGGGGGGGGAGTTCGTGTTGTTTTGTGTCTCGCTGTCACCCAGTGCAGTGCCGCGGATCTCGGCTCACTGCAGTCTCTGTCTCCCAGGTTCAATCAATTCTCCTGCCTCAGCCTCCCGAGTAGCTGGGATTATAGGCACACCACCATGCTCGGCTAATTTTTGTATTTTTCGTAGAGATGGAATTTCACCACGTTGGCCAGGCTGGTCTCTGACTTGAGGTCTCCTGACCTCAAGTGATCCGACCACCTCGGTCTCCCAAAGTGCTGGGATTACAGGCATGAGCCACCACGCCTGGCCTCTATCTGTTGATTATTAACTGCCAGCCAAATGTTGGCGGCTGTTCAGTCTTAACAGACGAGACTCAGAATCTCGCTAGTCACACATCTTAGTGGGAAAGGCTGGATCTGAATCAAGGCAGGATTACACCAAAGAGCAAACATCCAAGCTCCTCCTTCCTGTCCCTGACTAGGCTAGATGGCTTCATTTACTAGAAAGTGTACTCACCTGAACAACTGTGTACCCCTTGGGAATTTTCACTTCTGCCTTGGAAAACCACAAATAACCCTCAGACACCTGCACCGCTTTCTCACATGACTGTAAGTTTCATTGCAATTAGGATCTATGTCCAGAAAGTCCTCCCTAAAACCAGAACCAGCTATAGCCCACTCCCCACAGAACCCTGGGATGAATTCCCACCCAGCATCAGTATCTATGGGGGAGGGATCTCCAGCACTTTCATGAGATTATCAACGGGGTCTACAAATTGACGAAAAGAATGAAAGGGTCAGGTGCGGTGGCTTACACCTGTAACCCCAGCACTTTGGAAAGCTGAGGTGGATGGATCACTTGAGGTTAGGAGTTGGAAACCATCCTGGTCAACACTGCAAGATCCTGTGCCTATTTAAAGAAAAAGCTTCTAACATCTGCAAGCCTGGGACAAACTGTGATAATCTGTAGCTAAACATGCGCCAGGACTTTCTCAACGCCTAACATGGATGACCACTCTCATGCCTAACAGTCAGGGCTCAGGTGTAGAGACTGCTTTTCACCATAAATCATGACTACCCAAACTCAGGCAAAAGCAGCGTCTCAGGATATACAAATGCCAATCTTGGTCATGCCAATCTGCTGTAGAAAGCACTCCAATAACACCGCATCTCAGAGTAGATTTTAAAACAAGATGGTTAAGATGGTACATTTTCAATTTAATGTGTATTTCACCACAATTAGTAAAGTAAGCCTAAGTCTATGTGATCTGCATGCCCTCCTAAAGTCATCACCTGAAATGCTGTTCCCTGAGACATTTTACAGGTTCTCTCCTGTTCAGGCCTTTGCTAAATACCACCTAAATGTCCTTGACCAGCTTAAAAAAACAAGCACCAGCCTGGACAACATGGTGAAAACCCATCTCCACTAATAATAGAAAATTAGCCAGGCTTGGTGGCCCATGCCTGTGATTCCAGCTACTTAGGAGGCTAAGACAGGAGAATCGCTTGAACTCTGGAGGCGGAGTTTGCAGTGAGCCAAGATTGCGACAACTACACTCCAGCATGGGCAATGGAGCGAGACTCCGTCTCAAAAGTAAAATTAGCCAGGTGTGGTGGCGTGCGCCTGTCTGTAGTCCCAGCTACTTGGGAGGCTAAGATAGGAGAATTGTTTGAACCCAGGAGGCGGGGGTTGCAGTAAGCCGAAATGGCGCCACGGCACTCCAGCCTGGGCAACAGAGCAAGACTCCGTCTCAAAAGACTAAATAAAACGAGAAAACTTAATTAAAAAAACAATAAACCAAGCAAATGTGCAAACCCTGTTATCACCATCACTTAGCCCAGAAATTCCACTTCATAGTCTACTCTCATCCACTAGCAAACAGGCCACATAAACAGAATATAAAGATATAGACGGGTGCCCAGGTGTGCCAGGCCTATCTTTAGCTCTGGTCATTACTAAACTGAAGGTCCAATAACTGGGCAAAAAAGCCACACACCTAAGAAACAGGGCAAAGACTGATCCAGATACACTTTTCCTACTTCACAAGTGCCACTAAAAGTTAGAAGGCTGGTTCCATTTATCCAATGACACAACTCTCATCACTGGAACAGAGGCAACAGAAGGGAGAATGAACCTCACAAGCCCTGCACCCCATCCCTCTGCTGTGGACTCCCATACGCACCTTCGAACAGACGCCGTGGGTCCTTCTCATCAAGCGTCAGCAGTTCCCGGGCGGCCTTGCGGATCTTGGCCAGGGTAAATTTGACCCTCCAGACCTCACGTTTGTTCCGGAGCCCATACTCGCCTGGTGGGGAGAAGGGGGTGGACAAGTGTAGTCCCACGTACTGGCACAACAACTAGACTGGCAGCTTTGGAATCACAAAACCTTCCTAAACCACGAATAGTACCAAATTTAGGGGACGGACTAGATAGAGTACATGGGCACCTTCATCCACGTGCTAACCGCCTCCCGGAAGCCGAACCACTTCCCGGAAGCCTTGGCCACTCACCGATCAGCTTCAGCTCTTGGTCGAGACGAGATTTCTCGAAGGGTCTCCGCGGGGTCACATAAGTTTTGCGACAAACCCAGCTCCGGGCCACTGGCATGTTGGCTCCGCTTCCCCGTCTGCGCCTGCGCGGGAGAGAAGTGTGAGCGTAAGGGCTCCAAACGGCGCCTGCGCAGTCCCACAACTACGCCAAAACCTCGCGGAGCCCAGATCCGATCTCGCGAGAATAACCTCCAACGCTCTCATAGTCAGTATCTGCCCCCACAACCGTGCTGCACTCCCGTTCAACCACCCTGCTCTGTTTCCTAACGTCTTTAGCTTACTCATGGAAACTCGGAAGGCCCGGGCCACCATCCAACCCAAACCCTAGAGAAAAAGCACACCGCCGCACCTCACCTAAGCAAACCACCCGGTCACTGAGAAAGAGGCGCGCAAGCGCCACGGCTGCGCTCTTATAGTAACGCCGGCGTCTCGTGACGTTTTCACGCACCACGCACGTCAGAGCCAATCAGAAGAGGCGTTGGCTGGCTGAGAAGCAGTGGAGACGTGAGGCTGGGCTAGAGCGGCGTGCTAACCTGGGAGGACTAGGTTTTTTCCGGCCAGGGAGTGGAAACCTGAGAAGTAGGGAGAACCTTCCTTCTCCGCCCCTGGACGGTGGTTTTTCTTTTTCTTTCTGAGACAGGGTCTCGCTCCGTCGCCCAGGCTGGAGTGCAGTGGCGTGATTTCGGCTCACTGAGGCCCCGACCAACCTCTCGGGCTCGAGCGATCCTCCCACCTCCTCCCCAGTAGCTGGGATTACAGGCACACGCCACGACGCCCGGGTAGCATTTTTTTTTTTTTAACAGTCGGCGTCTTGCCATGTTGCCCAGGCTGGTCTTGAACTCCCGGCCTCGAGAGAGCCTCCCGCCGTGGCCCCCCCAAAGTGCTGGGATTACAGGCGTGAGCCACCGCGCCCAGCCGAGATTATTTCTGTCACTAACAATAATGTGGCATTCTGGAACGCTATGTGCCACATACTGTTCTAAGAATTTTAAATGTATTTACTCAATCTTCAATACATACTTACAGAGCACTCTCAGAGAAGTTGCCCCCCCACCCATGGTACTATTATTATCAATAGCCACTTAAGGGGTATTAGTACTATTATCAGTAATTTATTTTATTTTTGAGACGGAGTTTTTCGCTCTCGTCACCCAGGCTGGAGTGCAGTGGTGCGATCTCGGCTCACTGCAACCTCCGCTTCCCGGGTTCAATCGATTCTCGTGCCTCAGCCTCCCGAGAAGCTGGGACTACAGGCGCCCACCACCATGCCCGGCTAATTTTTAAATTTTTAGTAGAGACGGGGTTTTGAACTCCTGGTCTCCAACGCCTGACCTCAAGTGATCCACCCGCCTCAGCCTCCCAAAGTGCTAAGATTACAGGTGTGAGCCACCGCGCCTGACCTAGAGTTCTCTTTTTATATATAGTCTGGTTATTGTCTGTCTGTACACCCATCTCTCCACTCCGAATGCGATGGTCTGTCTCCACAGCTCGTGTTCTTCAGTTGTCTTCCCTACGCTGCTGCCTCGGCAGTCACTATCTCCTCAGGAAGCAGTCCCACCCGCCCCTTTCTCTTCCACGGCATCCACACCATCCGGATGCCTGGATTCAAATGCCACGTCACCACTTGCCAGCTGCAGTGCCTTCGACAAGTTTCTCAATCACTCTGTGCCTCAGCGTCCTCCTCTGTAAAACGGCGAATGATGGTAGCGCCTACCTCATAAGCTTGTGAGGATTAAGTGAGAGTCTATCCAGTGTTGAGGAGAGTGGCATAAATAAAGCGCCTAGTGGTAGCTACCATCGTCATTATTGTCATCTGCATTGTACTTCCATATCTTACAAACTACCTTGTTCAGTTTTATGGGTTTTTTGTTTGTTTGTTTTGTTGTTTTGAGACGGGGTTTTGCCATATTGCCCAGGCTGGTCTTGAACTCCTGGGCTCAAGTGATCCACTCGCCTCAGCCTCCCCAAGTGCTGGGATTACAGGTGTAAGCCACCATGCCTGGCCAAATTTTATGCATTTTTGTATCTTGAACACGCGTATATTATTCATCTGGAAGGGGGAAACGTGGAAGGAAAAAACTTCCATAAGTTTTCACTCCCTTCAGGATGAAGTCCAAGCTCCACAAATTCCGGGTGCCTCGTGATTACAGAGATGGTTTTATAATGGTGGTTGAACCTGTAGGTTCTCAAGTCTTAAAAAAGATCTGCGTTTGAACCTCAGCAGTCACTGACGAGCTCTTGATCTTAGGCAAATTAGCCTCTTCAAGAGTGCTAAATGGGAGAAAGTAACAGGACTTTCCTCATAGGGTTTGATGATTTAGAGTAAAAAAAAAAAAAAAAGAAAAGAAAACCAGCACAGAGTCTTGTGTACTGAAGGTGCTTAATATCTTAACACAGCTGACTCTGTACAGTCTGGGGGCGAGGGGCACTGACCCCCAGCTCAGCCGAAAACCTCCATATAGGCTGGGCGCGGTGCCTCACGCCTGTAATCCCAGCACTATGTGGAAGGCCAAGGCCGGCGGATCAACTGAGGTCAGGAGTTCGAGACCAGCCTGGCCAACATGACAAAACCTGGTCTCTACTAAAAATACAAAAATTAGGCAGGCGTGGTGGCAGGTGCCTGTAATCCCAGCTACTTAGGAGGTTGAGGCAAGAGCATCGCTTGAACCCAGGACGTGGAGATTGCAGTGAGCCGAGATCGCACCACTGCACTCCATCCTGGGCGACAGAGCAAGACTGCCTCAAAAAAAAAAAAAAAAAAATCAAGAAAGAAAATCTGCATATAACTTTTGACTTCCCCAAAACTTAACTACTAGGCCAGGCACCGTGGCTCACACCTGTAACCCCAGGTGGGATTTGGGAAGCTGAGGTGGGCAGAGCACTTGAGCCCAGGAGTTCAAGACCAGCCTGGGCAACACGGCAAAACCCAGACTCTACAGAAAACAGAAAAATTAACTGGGTGTGGTGGTGTGTGCCCGTAGTTCCAGCTACTTGGGAGGCTGTGGTGGGAGGACTGCTTGAGTCAAGGAGGTTGAGGCAGCAGCGAACTAAGATCATGCCCCTGCACCCCAGCCCAGCTGGCAGAGCAAGACACTGTCTCAGGATTTAAAAAAAACATTACTCGTAGTTGACTGGAAGCCTTACCAATAACATAGTCAATTAACACATATTTTATACGCTATATGTATTATATTCTGTATTCCTATGATGAATTAAGCTAGAGAAAAGAAAATATTGGCCGGGCGTGATGGCTCATGCCTGTTACCCCAGCACTTTGGGAGGCTAAGGCGGGCGGATCACCAGGTCAGGAGATCGAGACCATCCTGGCTAACACGGTGAAACCCCATCTCTACTAAAAATACAAAAAATTTGCCGGGCGTGGTGGCAGGCACCTGTAGTCCCAGCTACCGGGGAGGCTGAGGCAGGAGAATGGCGTGAACCCGGGAGGCGGAGCTTGCAGTGAGCTAAGATCGCGCCACTGCACTCCAGCTTGGGTGACAGAGCGAGACTTCGTCTCAAAAAAAAAAAAAAAAGAAAATATTAAGAAAATTCTAAAAAAGAGAAAATATATTTACTATTCATTAAGTGGAAGTGGATCATCATAAAGGTCTTCATCCTTGTCTTCATTCTGAGTAGGCAGAGGTGCAGAAAGAAGAGGAGGGTTTGGTCTTGCTGTCTCAGGGTGCCAGAGGTGGAGGAGGTAAAAGGCAAAGCAGGAGAGGCAGGCATGCTCTGTGTAACCTTTACTTTTTTCAATCTGCATAAAAGTGGACCCGAGCAGTTCAGACCCATGTTGCTCAAGGGTCAACTGATGAGATCTGGCCTCACCCTGATCCTCTTCAGAAGCATGGTCCAGTCATATGGCACCAGGCCCTCTTCCACAAACCCCTCATGCTTCCTCCTCTCTCTCTCTCACTCAGGCTGGAGCCCTCTAGCCCTTCCTCTCTGAAAGGAGCACGGGTAATATAAGAGGAACCCTTGGTTTCCATCATGGGTTGCCAAGGACCAGCTGGGCATGCTTGGGGAGCTGAATTCCTTTCCTTTTGTACAAGTGTAATAAAATCTAATTATGCCCCATCCATAGGACGCAAAACCATGTAGCTGTTGGCAAAAATGAGACAAGCCTGGGCATATCCAATAAGCAAGATGCAGAAGTGTGCATAGTATGCTACAATTTTCATTAATAAAAATGACCTTAACGTATGTATATTTATTTAAAATATGCTTAGAAAGTCATGTAGGAGAAATTATAATTTCCAAATTGTCTCAGCCCTGATTTAAAAATTATAGTTTAAGCCACTCATTTATTTAGCAACAATGTATTGACTGCTGTGTGCCAGGAACTGTTCTTGGACCTGGGGATACTGCATGAACAAGGGTAAATAAAACAAAAACCAAAACCAAAACCTTGTCCTTAACTAGAAACAAATGCCAATCACCTGATGAATGGATAAATAAAATGGGGTTATGTCCATACAATGGAATATCCAGCAGTAAAGAGGAACAAAGCTGGCCGGGCACGGTGGCTCATGTCTATAATCCTAGCACTTTGGGAGGCTGAGGTGGGCGGATTGCCTGAGCTCAGGAGTTCGAGCCTGGGCAATTATGGTGAAACCCTGTCTCTACTAAAATACAAAAAATTAGCCTGACGTGGTGGCAGGCGCCTGTAATCCCAGGTACTTGGGAGGCTGAGGTGGGAGAATCGCTTGAACCCACTTGAACCCAGGAGGCAGAGGCTGCAGTGGGCCGAGATTGTGCCACTGCACTCCAGCCTGGGCAACAGAGCAAGACTCTGTCTCAAAAATAAAAAAAATAAATAATAATAATAATAATAAGCAAGGAAGAGAATGCACATGGCCAGTTCATGAGGAAGCTGCAAAGTAGGACCTTTGAGTTTTACTCTGAGATGGAAAACTCCAGGAAAGTTTTAGACAGAGCTGTGACATGGTCTGACTTATCTTTTAATATGATGATTCTGGCCGGGCGCGGTGGCTCACGCCTGTAACCCCAGCACTTTGGGAGGCCGAGGCGGGTGGATCACAAGGTCAGGAGATCGAGACCATCCTGGCTAACATGGTGAAACCCCGTCTCTACTAAAAATACAAAAAATTAGCCAGGTGAGGTGGCGGGCGCCTGTAGTCCCGGCTACTAGGGAGGCTGAGGCAGGAGAATGGCGTGAATCCGGGAGGCGGAGCTTGCAGTGAGCAGAGATCGCGCCACTGCACTCCAGCCTGGGCGACAGCGAGACTCCGCCTCAAAAAAAAAAAAAAAAAAAAAAACAAAAAAAAAAACGATGATTCTGGCTGCTCTGTTGAAAACAGACAACAGAGGGGCAAGAATGGAAGGCAGGGGATGAGTTAGGAAGCTATCAATATCAAATGAGCCATGGTTTGGTTTTTCTAAGATACTGGCAGTGAAGGTGGAGGGTGGGGCCTAACTGTGGATCCACAGTGCTTTGAACATGGCACCTATAGAATTTGTTGACTGACAACATGGGGGGACACCAGTCACAAAAGTTTTTTTTTGTTTGTTTGTTTTAAATAGAGATGAGATGAGGTCTCACTATGTTCAGCCAAGGCTGGTCTCAAACTCCTGAGCTCAGCGGCTCAACTGATCTTCCCACCTTGGCCTCCCAAAGTGCTAGGATTACAGGTCTGAGCCACCACATCTGGCCACAGGAGTTTTAAATGAGGAACTTTTCAGAGGAGAGACTCATGACAGAGGGAATGAGACTTCTAAGTACTTTGTTGTAGAGAGGAGAAAGGGTGGAGAATAGACTTACAAAGCCAATTATGAAGCAGGCACAAAGAGAGTATTGGCCAGACAGGGGTTAGCGTCATTTTTTTTCTTTTCTTTTTATTTTTTTGAGATGGAGTTTAGCTCTTGTTGCCCAGGCTGGAGTGTAGTAGTGCGATCTTGGCTCACTGCAACCTCTGCCTCCTGGATTCAAGTGATTCTCCTGCCTTAGGCTCCTGAGTAGCTAGGAGTACAGGCGCATGCCACCACGCCCGGCTAATTTTTTTTTTTGTATTTTTAGTAGAGATGGGGTTTCACCATATTGGCCAGGCTGATCTCAAACTCATCTGCCCACCTCAGCCTCCCAAAGTGCTGGGATTACAGGTGTGAGCCACCACGCCTGGCCCAGTGTCATATTTTAAATTAATCTAAACTTACAGGAAATTGAGATTCTATGAAGTCTGTTTACTGGGAATGGCAAGAAAGAGGGGAGATGGGAGTCTCTCTAAACCTATTCTGGTTCCAGAGGCTGCTCAATTCACACAAAAAAGAGAAAGAATGAAACATGGGGGGAAGAAATGGAAGAACTAGAGGTGGAGACTTTCAGCCCCAGAATTTTACCATGTGGAAGTTTTTGTTTGTTTTTGTTTTTTTGAGACAGTGTCTAGCTCTGTCGCCCAGACTGGAGTGCAGTGGCGTGACCTTGGCTCACTGCAACCTCCACCTCCCAGATTCAAGTGATTCTCCTGCCTCAGCCTCCGGAGTAGCTAGGATTACAGGCGCCCGCCACCACGCCCGGCTAATTTTTGTATTTTTCATAGAGGCGGGCCATGTTGGCCAGGATGCTCTGGAACTCCTGACCTCATGATCCGCCCGCCTTGGTCTCCCAAAGTGCTGGGATTACAAGCATAAGCCACCACGCCCAGACTCACCATGTGAATGTATTACACTGACAAAATAAACGTGACAAAATAAAACTGCACATTGATAAGATAAAGGTGTAATTATTGGAATAGTGGTAGTGTTCTAGTACTTTCTTAAGCAAAAACATGGGTAAATGATTTCATAAGTGCAAATTTTTTACAAATACATGTGTTTTAGCTTTTATAAAAATTGCAGAATATAACACATCCAAAAAAGAGTCTAAAATATAAATATACAGTATCAAAAAAATTCTCCACCACTACCCAGGCCATGAAAAAGCAGAACGCCTTCCAGAGTCCTTCCTTTCTCCCCAGGCTCTGAACTCCTAAAATTACAATACTCATTTCCTTTCATAATATATATATATATACACACACATATATATACATACATGTGTGTATATTTACATATATACACACACACATATATATATTTTTTGAGACAGGTTCTTGCTCTGTCTCCCAGGCTGGAGGGCAGTGGTGCAATCACAGCTCACAGCAGCCTCAACTTCCCAGGCTCAAGGGATCCCTGGCTAATTTTTTTTTAAATTATTTTTTGTAGAGACTGGGTATTACAATGTTGCCAGAGCTGGTCTCAAACTCCTGGGCTCAAGCGATCCCCCTGCCTTGGCCTCCAAAAGTTCTGTGGGATTACAGGTGTGGGTCATCGTGCCCAGCCTATATTTTTATTTATAACGTTTGTATGCATCTGGGAAATTTCATAGAAATCTTTTCAAGAGGAAGTTTAGTGAGGTAGAAAGAGTGCAGATTTAGGAGTCAGAAAAACCAATTTTGAAAGGCCAGGCCTGCTATTTACTAAGTGTGTGACTTTGGGCAAGTCAGTCCCCCCCCTCCAGGCCTTTTTCTCACCTGTACATGCAGATGAGACCATCCACGGGTTCCAGGACTGTCGCAAACATTCAAATCATGAACATTTATATACCAAGTTTATTGAGACCTCCTGAGACTTAAACCCTGTAGAAAACAGATGAATCAAACCCAGGCCCCATTCTCGGGAAGCTCACAGTGTGAAAATAGGTAACTACAAAAACACAGCCAATAAGTGCTTTGAAACAAGGAAGAACATAAAAAAGATGTAGTGTTCGAAAACCTGGAATCAAAAACTAACCGCGGAGAAAGGTAGGAGGATGTTCTAGACTCCCAGAGAAGAGCTGGGGAACATCCAGAAAGGCTCTTGCTGCCGACACAGCCACATCCCCTAGGTCTCTGGAGTTCACTGCAGGCTGGCCCATTGCAGGGAGGTGTAGACCACCTTACCATCAGGCTGCGGAGAACAGAGGAGCAGGGTCTTTCTGACGCTGGTTCCAAGGCGCCCAGCAGCAACCAGGTCTTGGAGTGGGATGGTGTCCTCGGGGGCCCAGCACTGAGCGATATAATGGGCGTGGAAGCGGAGGGGGTCACCTGGGGGAAGGAGAGAGGCACTGAAGCAGTGACCAATGGCAGACGGCTGGACGCCACGGGAACGACCACTGGGAGGAGATCTGAGATCATTTCAGCCATCACTATAGATACTCTAAAACAGATGCTCTTGGACACAACTATTCCACTTCTAGGCTTTTTTTTTTTTTTTTTTTTGAGACAAAGTCTCGCTCTTGTCCCCCAGGCTGGAGTGCAATGGCACGATCTTGGCTCACTACAACCTCTGCCCCCTGGGTTCACATGATTCTCCTGCTTCAGCCTCCCGAGTAGCTGGAAATACAGGCACCCACCACCACGCCCAGTTAGTTTTAGTATTTTTAGTAGAGATGGGGTTTCACCATGTTGGCCAGACTGGTATCAAACTCCTGACCTCAGGTGATCCACCTGTCTTGGCCTCCCAAAGTGTTGGGATTACAGGCGTGAGCCATTGCGCCCAGCCTGATGTCTAACTACTTCTAAGTGAATCTTCTGGATCACAGTAATCATTTAATAAAAGTCGTTAAACTGCTTGCCCAATGAGTTCAGGAGCTCCCAAATGTTTCCTGTCTGTCTATGAATTTCAGAGGCTAAGAGAAAGTGAGACAAAAAAGAAAAATGCAGCTGGGCCTATAATTCCAGCACTTTGGGGGGCCGAGGTGGAAGGATTGCTTGAGCCCAGGAATAGGGACCAGCCTAAGCAACAAGAGACCCCACCTCTATTAAGACAAAAAAAAAAAAAAGAAAAACGCAGAATACATTGGGATCGTATGGAAAGGCACAGCAACCAGAGGCCCCAACCCATACTCACCAGGATAGACCAGGAAGTCACCTCCGAACTTGCCAGCCGCACTGAGGAAGAAGCCTCGCTCCCACAGGTCTCTGTAGATACTGTAGCGCAGCTCGTGGGCAGGGCGGCCGGCGTGGGGCCAGTCTTTAGACTGGACACGCCAGTCCAGGGGCCTGGCCTTGACCGGTCGAGGCCTGGCAGTGGCCAGCTGGACAAGGAGAGCAGATCTGGGCAAGGGGGCTACCCCATTTGAGGGTCCTGCTTGGGAAGACGAGGGGCCTGGTGGGGAGTACAGAGAAGAGTTTGGTAAATTCAAGGGGTAAAGTCTTCTCACCCTCAGGGAGACCCAGGCACTGGATTCCCAGCTAAAATTCCTAAAAGATCTCTCCTCTCCTTCCCGTGGTCCCTGGACTCCACCTCCCATGCTCACCAGCTTCCTCCTGCTCTCCCGAAGCCTGGCCATCACTGGTCTCATCCTCTTTGGCAGCCTGGCTCGAGCCGGCCTCCTGGCTTGAGCTGGCCCCTGAAGCCTGTTCTAGTTTCTGCTTCTTAGCAGCCTGGCCCTCCGTAATCTTCTCCAGGAGCTCCTGACGACGGGTCTCCCGGGCCTCAGCTGCCAAGGCGCTCTGCTCCTGGAAGCTCTCCTCTTGCTGGCGCTTGAAGGATGTCAGGGCCTGAGAAGCACACTTCGCTGGAACCTCCAAGCTTATGGTCCCTTCAGAAGCCAGGAAACTTGACTCCCAGGTCCCGCTCCCACCGAACCCGAGTTCGAGCCCCGCCCCCTTACCAGGCTGTGGTGCCGAGAGTCTGGACGCGGGGCGCTGACCAGAGTCACGGCGCCGATCTCGGCCAAGAGCCGCGCCTCTTCGGGCATCAGCAGCAGCGGGAGGCCCAGGCGCGAGTTCTGGCGGGGCCCGCGGGGCAGGGCGCCTACCGTGCGGCCCCCCACACCCAGGCGCTCCCGGAGGGCCTGCACCGCCTCGGCTCCCCACACCAGGGAGCGGCCGTTCGCCACCTCCACCACCAGCATCCTCCTGCGGGAGCCGGGAGGCAAAGCAGTTACCGAAACAGCTGCGCGCCGCAGACCGCTGCAGCGCACCCAAAGCCTCCGGGGTCTCGGCGAAGCCCCGCCCCTAGGCCTCAGGGGGCGGGGCCTCGCTCAGCCGCCGTTCACCACCTGCTGGGCCCGAGCGCCAGGCCCCGCCCCCGGGCGATCCCACCAGGCCTCGCGGCCGCCGGAGACGAGACGCCGGAGACAAGCCCCCGACCCTCGCCCCTCGCCAAGCCCCCAGGGTCCCGCTCTACCCTTGTGACCCTGCGGTCGGCACCCGCTCTGTGCCCGCACTGCCGTACCTACCATTGCGCCTTGGAGCGTGAAAAACAAACCTCCGCAAGCGCGGCGACACGCCCCCTTACAAAGGTCCATTTTGGCACCACCCTCTTGCAAAGTGGGCGTCCCCCTTCGGGTGTTCCCGTCAGCGGTCAGAAGCTCTGGAGGCTAAGGCACCGCCGAGGCCACACCCTCTTCCGGACGCTCGAGCCTTCGCTCCTCCTCTTTCCGAACGACTGTGATTCGGCTTTCGGACCTCCTCGCTCTCAGACTCCCACAGTACAAAACCCTGCCCCCTCCCGAGCACAGGAAGTTCGGCGTTCGGGCGTCCTCGGCTCCACCGAATCCGCAGCCCCGCCCCCTTCCCGAACGCCAGCAATTTGACGTTCGGGTGTTCTCGGCTCGGCCGAATCCGTAGCCCCGCCTCCTCCCGGACGCAATAGGTTCGGCGTTCGGGCGTCATCGGCTCCCGGCAGCCTCGCGGCCTGTGGCCCCGCCCCCTCCGAGCGCCAGCGCACCCCAGTTGGGGAGTTCCCGCCCTACGACCGAACCCCACAGCCGAAAGCCCCGCCCCCTGGACACCCGCCGTCCACTCTCCGCTCGGGCGGGCTCACCCCAATTGGGAGCGCTCAGTCCGCCTCCTTGCCTCCCTTCAGAATGTCCCACTGTCCACCGATAGAACCAGCGAGTCACCTCATAAACAGTAATTCGCAGTCGAGGTGGAGCCACCCACTGCGCACCGCGCCACGCGCTCCTTGCTCCACCCCCTCATGCCGACACCCTCGTCAACTTCGTCATCCCGCCCCATCAGCGCCGCGGGAAGTCAGGTCCCGCCCCTCGCAGGACCGAAGCCCCGCCCTCCTCCCGCGGGGGCCACCTTGGCTCCGCCCCACTGAGCGCACCTCCCTCTGCCGCTTCCTCTCCTCTACTTGGGAACTTGAGGATCGTCACCCTGGCCCGGTCCCGTAGGCGCACGCCGGCCCTCGGGGTTCCGCCCCTTTGAGGGCAAGTCGCTTTCGCCCCGCCCCCTTGTAAATACTCATGGGTATCTGGCGAACCTGTTGACTCCGCCTATCATCCTAGCGTCACTTGTACCCAACTATCTACGAAGTAAACCGAAGCTTGTGGCCCCACCCACATCCGGCCGAGTCTGTGGCCCCGCCCACATCGGAACAGTGACCCTAAGGACTCGACTACCTCCGAAGAAAGCCGAAACATGTGGCTCCGCCCACACTGGCCTCAGCTCTCCGTTCTCGACTATTGCCGAAGTGAGCCGAAGTTTGTGGCCCCGCTTCCGGAGAACTCAAGCTCCCGATTGTGCCCGAAGGAACCCGAAGGGAGACCCCGCCTCATTCCTCACGGCGAGCTCCAGACCCCGCCTCCTTTCCGGAGCCCGTCTGTTCCCCTTCGGGTCCAAAGCTTTTGGCTCCTCCTTGTTCCGAGCCCGAAGGCCCGCCCCTTCACGTACTCGGAGCTCGGATCCCAGTGTGGACCTGGACTCGAATCCCGTTGCCGACTCGCGCTCTCGGCTTCTGCTCCGGGGCTTCTTCCCTGCCCGCCCGGGGCCCTGACCGTGGCTTCTTCCCCGGCCTGATCTGCGCAGCCCGGCGGGCGCCCAGAAGGAGCAGGCGGCGCGGGGGCGCGCTGGGCGGGGGAGGCGTGGCCGGAGCTGCGGCGGCAAGCGGGCTGGGACTGCTCGGCCGCCTCCTGCCCGGCGAGCAGCTCAGGTGGGCCAGGGTGGCGGCGCCCAGTGGCGAGGCGAGGTTACACGGCGGCAGGGTCTCTGCGGGCTGGCGGGTGCGGGGCGGCCCCGGAGGCGCGTTGGAACTCGGGGCTGGCGCAACCGCCTGTGGCTCTGCCGGGGATGCGCTGGGGTGCGCGGGACGGGTTGGGGCTGGGCCTGGGCCTGGGCCTGGGGAGGGGAGGGTGTTCGATCCCCGGGTTCTCAGTAGGAGAGGGGTGTGGAGCTCCGAAGGAGGTGCAGGTTGGAGACCCGGGCTCCTCTGGGTGGTCTCGAAGAAGGGCTGGGGGGTCCGGATATCTGGTTTCACAAGGGCCGGGGGATGGGGGATCCAAAGAGGGGGTCTGGGTTCCTGGATCCTCGCTGGAAGAGGGGGCTCGGAGGTCTAGATTCCTGGGCTGTCGAAGAGGAAGGGTCCGGGAGGGGTGCCGTTTCTGGGTTTTTAAAAGAGGGGCGTCTTCAAATCTGGGTCCCCAGTATGGGTGCGGGGAGTAGCTTTGATTTCTGCGTTCGCAAAGGAGGGGCTTGGGTGCTGGGAGATCCCCACACTTTCCTGGGTTCTCCAAGGACAGGAGAGCTGGAGGCCTGTGCGCTCAAAGGAGGGGCTGGGGGTGGATTCCTGTCTCCTCCAAGGAGGAAGGGGCTGGAGTCCGGGTTGCTAGGTTCTCAAAGGAGAGGAGCTGAGGCTCATACTCCATCATCCTCAAAAACTGGGGTCTAGAAGGCTGGGTTCCTGGATCCTCGAAGAGGGAGGAGGCAGGGGGCCTGGATTCCTGGGTTCTCACTGTGAATCTCTGCCCCTCCCCCAGACCATGTCGCCTGAAGAATGGACGTATCTAGTGGTTCTTCTTATCTCCATCCCCATCGGCTTCCTCTTTAAGAAAGCCGGTGAGTCAGGCTCCCTCCCCAGTGGAAAATAAAGGGGGGGGACCCTCTGGAAGGTTCCAGGCTTATGCTGTCCCTTCCCCCTGCAGGTCCTGGGCTGAAGAGATGGGGAGCAGCCGCTGTGGGCCTGGGGCTCACCCTGTTCACCTGTGGCCCCCACACTTTGCATTCTCTGGTCACCATCCTCGGGACCTGGGCCCTCATTCAGGCCCAGCCCTGGTGAGAATTTGGTGGAGGGAGGAGAGGGAGAGGAGGGGAGAGGGGGAAGCAACCTGTTTCCTCTTTGAGTCTTTTTCAGCTTCTGCCTCATCTCTAGCTGTCTCTTGTTGATCAGCTCATTTCTCTGTTTCATGTTTGTTTGTTTGTTTGTTTTTCTTTCTTTCTTTCTTTTTGAGATGGAGTTTCGCTCCTGTTGCCCAGGCTGCAGTTCAGTGGCACGATCTTGGCTCACTGCAACCTCCACCTCCCGGGTTCAAGCGATTCTCTTGCCTCAGCCTCCCAAGTAGCTGGGACTACAGGCATGCTCCACCACGCCTGGCTAATCTTGAATTTTTAATAGAGCCGGGGTTTCTCCATGTTGGTCAGGCTGATCTCGAACTCCTGACCTTGTGATCTGCCCACCTCAGCCTTCCAAAGTGCTGGGATTACAGGCGTGAGCCACCGTATCCGGCCTTCATCTGCTTTTCTTTCTCCCCTGCCTTCTGCGTCTGGTCCCTGTGTGTTTGTCCCAGTCCGCTACATCCATGTCATGGAGAGAGGTGGACAGTGTGTCTGCTGGCCTGGCCACCGTTCATATTCATTCATATCCACCTCTCTCTTCTTGAGCCCTGGACCTCGGAAATAAAGAAAAAGTGGAGGATTGCAGGGTCTTCACCTGAAGCTTCTCTTAACCTCATTCTCTGTTGGTGTGTGTTTCTATGTGGCTGAGCCTCTTCTCCCACTGTTTCAATCATACTCATTCGGTCCCTACATCCACCCTCCTGTCCTCTCTGCCCTTCTGTGTTTCTGTCTCTAAACGAATGGGGAGAGCTGGGGGAGGATTGGTGGCTGGACTCGTGGAGTGAATGGCCAAGGCCGAGACTTCTGTGCCCAACACAGTGCGCCTCCTGCTTTTGCCCAGCTCCTGCCACGCCCTGGCTCTGGCCTGGACTTTCTCCTATCTCCTGTTCTTCCGAGCCCTCAGCCTCCTGGGCCTGCCCACTCCCACGCCCTTCACCAATGCCGTCCAGCTGCTGCTGACGCTGAAGGTCAGACTCGGGGCTTGCCACTCCCCTCCAGCCTCCCTGTGGGCCCCTTCACCTCCCACTTTACCTCCCCCTTCAGTGGCTCCCCGGGATTTTACCTCCAACACACCCTGGGGGTGGGACGTCACCTCACTTGCTGCCCTGGGCACAGCATTCCCCATTCACATGCCCTTGGGCAGGTCTTCACCTCCCAGCTCCTCCTGGGGTGAGGAAATAACCCACATAGGTAACAGTAGGTGCCATTGGGTGCTTGCGGTGTGCCAGAGGCCCAGCTGGGTGGTTTACCAACATGCTGTCCTTGAATCTCTGTAGCCAGCTATTTTGCAAAGGAGAAAAACCAGCTCTGGGGAGAAGGTACTTGGTGAAGGGAACAAAACTAGGGCATCCAGGTCTGGCTCCTAATCACCTGGGAAGAGGGGTAAAAACAGAATCCTAGGGCCCACCCCAGACCCACAGAGTCATGGTTTCCTACTGGCGGCTTATCCGTGAACACAGCAGTCATGCTAGGTAGGGAGTGGCCTTCCCAGCATTCAGTGTGCCCTGTGGGAGCTCAGTGGTGGCAGGAGTAGGTTGGATGAGAGAGGGGTTCGTGGAGGAGCATTTCAGGCCGCAGGATGTGTGGAGGGGAGCAGGCTGGGTTCCACAGGCTACACCAGCCACATCCACTTTCTGGGACGAGCAAAAGGGAACAGGCAGCAGGGCTGACACCGTGCTAGGCCTGGCTGGAGACCGTGAGGACATTGGACTTCTTCCCGTGGAGGATTGAGATCTGCTGGAAGAGGGGATTTTTGGTTTGCTGCCAGAAGAGGCAATGTGACCAGTTTTAAATGTTTAAAAATACTCGTTCTGGCTGGGCACAGTAGCTCACGCCTGTAATGCCAGCACTTTGGGAGGCTGAGGCAGGCGGATCACCTGAGGTCGGGAGTTCAAGACCAGCCTGACCAAAATGGAGAAACCCTGTCTCTACTAAAAATACAAAAGATTAGCTGGGCGTGGTGGCACATACCTGTAATCCCAGCTACTCGGGAGGCTGAGGCAGGAGAATTGCTTGAACCCAGGAGGCGGAGGTTGTGGTGAGCTGAGATCGTACCATTGCACTCCAGCCTGGGCAACAAGAGCAAAACTCCATCTCAAAAATAAATAAACAAATAGAAATACTCATTCTAGGCCAGCTGCGGTGGCTCACGCCTGTAATCCCAGCACTTTGGGAGGCTGACGCGGGTAGATCACCTGAGGTTAGGAGTTTGAGACCATCCTGGCCAACATGGTAAAACTCCGTCTCTACTAAAAATACAAAAATGAGCCGGGTGTGGTGGCTCACACCTGTAATCCCAGCTACTCAGGAGGCTGAGGCAGGATAATTGCTTGAACCTGGAAGGTGGAGGTTGCAGTGAGCCAAGATCCCGCCATTGCACTCCAGCCTGGGCCTTCCCGGGCAAGATTCCATCTCAAAAAAAAAAGAAAAGAAAAGAAAGAAAACTCGTTCTGGATGCTGAAGGAGAATTGAAGTGGAACAGGGCAAGATGGGATGGACTCAGATAAAGGGATCCTCCTTTGTCCGAGTCCAGGTGACAAACTGTGGTGGCTTGATACAGGCCGTTGGCTGGCTGTGGGTAGGTCTGAGTTGCAGCAGGAAACGCGCATTTAGGATGACTGAAGGAGTGGCCACCAATTGGGCAGGATGTAGAAGAGCAAGAAGGGATGGTGCCTGAACCCCAGCCCCGCAGAAGGAGCCGTTCCCAACCCTAGGCCCAGGGGAAATGGGTCAGGTTGTGGTACCTGGATGGAAAAAGGGTTGTGTAGGCCTGGTGCAGTGGCTCATACTTGTATAATCCCAGCGCTTTGGGAGGTCATAGTGGGAGGACTGCTGGAGGCCAGGAGTTTAAGACCAGCCTGGGCAATATAGTGAGACCCTGTCTCTACAAAAAATTAATTTTTTAAATGTTATTTATTTTTAAAGATGGAGTCTCGCTCTGTTGCCCAGGCTGGAGTGCAGTGGTGTGATCTCACTGCAACCTCTGCCTCTCGGGTTCGAGCGATTCTCCTGCCTCAGCCTCTCGAGTAGCTGGGACTACAGGCGCCCACCACCACGCCTTGCTAATTTTTATATTTTTAGTAGAGATGGGGTTTCACCATGTTGGCCGGGCTGGTCTCAAACCCCTGACATCAAGTGATCTGCCTGCCTAGGCCAACCAAAGTGCTAGTGTTATAGGTGTGAGCCGTCACACCTGGCCCTAAATTTTTTTTTTTTTTTTTTTTTTGAGACGGAGTTTCACTCCTGTTGCCCAGGCTGGAGTGCAATGGTACGATCTTGGCTTACCGCAACCTCCGCCTCCCAGGTTCAAGCGATTCTCCTGCCTCAGCCTCCTGAGTAGCTGGAATTACAGGCACTCACCACCATGCCCGGCTAATTTTTTGTATTTTTAGTAGAGACAGGGTTTTTCCATGTTGGTCAGGCTGATCTCGAACTCCCAACCTCAGGTGATCCGCCTGCCTCGGCCTCCCAAAGTGCTGGGATTACAGGCGTGAGCCACCGCGCCCGGCCAAAATTATTTTTTTTAAAGGGTGTGTAGAGCCACCCACCTTGAAATGATCTATCAAGGGTGACAGCCAGCCCAAGGCCATCTTACAAGGGAATAAAAGCCCTACCCTCCCTCTCCTGACTTTGTCTCCAGCCAGGGATTTCTACTGACAACCCAGCCACAAGCTGGAAGAAGGAGATCTATTGATATAGGGTGGACCTTGGGACTGGTGGGAAAGGGTGGAGAGTACAACATATTCAGCTCAGTAGTGGAGATGGAAAGAGGCAACAGACTCAAACTTAAGGGATTTCAAGGCGGGCAGATCACTTGAGGCCAGGAGTTCGAGACCAGCCTGGCCAGCTGAGGCATGAGAATTGCTTGCGCCCCCAGGAGGTGGGGGTTGCAGTGAGCCGAGATCACACCAGTATACTCCAGCCTGGGTGACAGAGCAAAACTTGTCTCAAAAAAAAAAAAAAAAAAAAAGAGAGATTAAAGGATCGGATTTGGGGAGTGAGGGAGATTTTTGGCTTGAACAATTTGGTGGCCTGTTGTTTGAGGGGAGACACTAGAAGAGGGTCTACCTTGTGGGGTGGGTAACATCATGTTCCGTTTCCAGTGCGTTTGGGGTGCCTGGAGACATCCGAGTATAAATGCCAATAAGCCACTTGATTGGATAGGTCTGGGGCTGGGGTAGCGTTTGGGCGTCCTCAGCGTGTGGATAGTATCGAAACCTCCGTGATTGCGTGAGAGCAGGTAAGCACAGAACAGGGAAAGGGGAGGAGGGCCTGGGACTGAGCCCTGGGGAACACCGCCCAGCTAGAGGCGTTACACACAACCTAGATGGGCAGAGCTGCGGGCACCCAGCACCCCTTGGCTGCCGAGGGCAGCCGCGCAAGGGAGATGGGTGTGGGGAAGGGCCCAGAGTCTGACCTGGCCCCTTGCCCACCCCCTTCTGCCCAGCTGGTGAGCCTGGCCAGTGAAGTCCAGGACCTGCATCTGGCCCAGAGGAAGGAAATGGCCTCAGGCTTCAGCAAGGGGCCCACCCTGGGGCTGCTGCCCGACGTGCCCTCCCTGATGGAGACACTCAGCTACAGCTACTGCTACGTGGGAATCATGACAGGTGAGTGGGGCTGCCCTAACAACTCTGCCGCTCTGTCTCCTGTGTCCCCTTCCGCCCTGAGTGCCTGTTGTGTGTTCCCGCCCTGCCCAGGGCAACCTCCATCCTAGCATCTGCTGCTGTGAGGGTGGGCATGTGTCTGGGTCTACGTCTCACACCTCCGCTGGACCAGAGCTGCTTTGGGGTAGAAGCTGGCTGTCTCAACCTAAGCAATTCCTTGCTCTTCTCCTTGTAGCGTATTGGGAGCAAAGAGAAGAGATAAAGGAGGTAAAGATCTATGTCAACCTGATGTTTTTGCTTCCCAGACAACAAATATTCACGGCTTAGGGTCCACTTTCAGCTTAAGGAAATATTTTTCATCTGGGCGTGGGGGCTTATGCCTATAATCCTAGCACTTTCGGAGGCTGAGGCGAGAGGATTGCTTGAGGCCAAAAGTTCAAGATCAACTTGGCCAACATAGCAAGATCCCGTCCCTTTATTTTAAACCTTTATTTTTAAAAAATAAATAAATATAAAATTAAAAGGGCCGGGCGCAGTGGCTCACGCCTGTAATCCCAGCACTTTGGGAGGCTGAGACAGGCAGATCACCTGAGGTCAGGAGTTTGAGACCAGCCTGGCCAACATGGTGAAACCCCGTCTCTACTGAAAATACAAAAATTAGCCGGGCATGGTGGTGTGTGCCTGTAATCCCAGCTACTTGGGAGGCTGAAACTGGAGAATCGCTTGAACCCACGAGACGGAGTTTGCAGTGAGCCAAGATCACACCACTGCACTCCATCCTGGGCAACAGAGCAAGACTCCATCTCAAAAAATACATATGTATGTGTGTGTGCATGTGTGTATATATATGTATGTGTGTATGTGTATATATATGTGAAATTTTAAAAAGAAAATATTTTTCATTAATGTTTACCTCATCAAAGGTTTTTTTTCCAATAACAGCTTTAGGGAACTCTAATTCACATACTCATCCACTTAAAACATACAACTCTTGGCTTCTTTAATTTCCTGGAAAAAAAAAAAAACACAAAACATACAACTCCCTGATTTTTAGTATATTCACCGAGTTGTGCAGACATGACCATTGTGTAGTTATATTCAGAACAGTTTCATACCCTGCAAAGAAACCCCATGTCCATCATCCCACAAACCTCCATCCATCCCTGGTAACCAGTAATTGACTTTCTATCTGTAAAGATTTGCCTGTTCTGGACATTGCGCTTACAAATGGAATCATACAACATGTGGTCTTATTTATTTATTTTAATTTGTTTTTTTTTTCCTTTTATCTTCCCATGCTACATTGACCTAAACATACGGCCTTTGTGAACATATAAAAATTTTAACCCCGGTCCCTTCTGTGAATCACACTGCTTCCTCCCTAGGCCAGACCACCATCATATTGTAGCTAAAGTGCCACAGCTATCTCCTAGTTTCTTTCCTTCCTCCTTCCCTCCGTCCTTCCCTTTTCCCTTCTTCCTTCCTTCCCTCCTTCCTTCCCTCCCTCCTTCCTTCCCTCCTTCCCTCCCTCCTTCCTTCCCTCCCTCCTTCCTTCCCTCCTTCCCTCCCTCCTTCCTTCCCTCCTTCCCTCCCTCCCTCCCTCCTTCCTTCCCTCCCTCCTTCCTTCCCTCCCTCCTTCCTTCCCTCCTTCCTTCCCTCCTTCCTTCCCTCCCTCCTTCCTTCCCTCCTTCCCTCCCTCCTTCCTTCCCTCCCTCCTTCCTTCCCTCCTTCCCTCCCTCCTTCCTTCCCTCCTTCCCTCCCTCCCTCCCTCCTTCCTTCCCTCCTTCCCTCCCTCCCTCCTTCCTTCCCTCCTTCCCTCCCTCCCTCCTTCCTTCCCTCCTTCCCTCCCTTCTTCCTTCCCTCCTTCCCTCCCTCCTTCCTTCCCTCCTTCCCTCCCTCCCTCCTTCCTTCCCTCCTTCCCTCCCTCCTTCCTTCCCTCCTTCCCTCCCTCCCTCCTTCCTTCCCTCCTTCCCTCCCTTCTTCCTTCCCTCCTTCCCTCCCTCCTTCCTTCCCTCCTTCCCTCCCTTCTTTCTTCCCTTCTTCACTCCTTCCCTCCCTCCCTCCCTCCCTCCCTGGCTGGAATGCAGTAGCTCAGTCACTGCTCACTGCAGCCTGGGCTCAAACGATCCTCCCGCCTCAGCCTCCCCAGTAGCTGGGAATTCAGGTGCCCTCCACACCTGGCTGATTTTTATTTTTTGTAGTGATGGGGTCTTGCCGTTTTGCCCAGGCTGCTGTCCAACTGTTGGGCTCAAGCAGTCCTCCCAGCTAGGCCTCCCAAAGTGCTGGGATTCCAGGTGTGAGCCACCGCACCGGCCCCTCTGTCTGTTTTTCTGTTACTGTCTCTGTCTCTCTGAGTTTCTTGTCCCCCCTGTCTCTCGTTCCTTATCCCCATCTCTCAGGGTCTCAGTCCCTACCCTTGGGGTCTCCCCGGCGCCCAGTCTCTGCCCCTCTCACTCCCTCTTCCCACCTTCCTTCCAAGCTCCCTGTCCTCCTCCTGCAGACTTGAGCTCTGCCCACCTGCCTGTCTGACCGCGGCCCTCCCTCCCCGCCCCACAGGCCCGTTCTTCCGCTACCGCACCTACCTGGACTGGCTGGAGCAGCCCTTCCCCGGGGCAGTGCCCAGCCTGCGGCCCCTGCTGCGCCGCGCCTGGCCGGCCCCGCTCTTCGGCCTGCTGTTCCTGCTCTCCTCTCACCTCTTCCCGCTGGAGGCCGTGCGCGAGGACGCCTTCTACGCCCGCCCGCTGCCCGCCCGCCTCTTCTACATGATCCCCGTCTTCTTCGCCTTCCGCATGCGCTTCTACGTGGCCTGGATTGCCGCCGAGTGCGGCTGCATTGCCGCCGGCTTTGGGGCCTACCCCGTGGCCGCCAAAGCCCGGGCCGGAGGCGGCCCCACCCTCCAATGCCCACCCCCCAGCAGGTCAGGCGGCGCGAGGGAGGCTTCCCAAGACCCAGCAGCCCCCACCTCCAAGGGCTGGCTCTGCCCCTAGCCGGGAGGAGAGCGGGGAGCAAGGGGCCAGGGCCACCACCTTTTTGAGCAGAGTGTCGCCCCCTCGGCAACCATGGCCTGCCAGCCCCTGTCGGTAGGGAAAAGATCCCTGGTACTGACAGATGCCCCTTGTTGCTAGCGCTTGTCACCCCGCAGTGTGGTGAACTGCCCCCTGTCGCTAGGAAAAGGTGGTAACTTAGCAACCCTGTGCCACCCCTCTGTTGCCACAGAAGTGTCACCCCCCAGAACCAGATTGTTCCTGCTTGCTGGGGATGCCATCCTTTGCTAGTGGTGGGTCACCCTCTGTTGCTAGGGAAACGGTTCCCTAGCAACAGAACGCCACTATTTGCTAGGGAAGCAGGATCCCTAGCAACAGTAGCTCACCTCCTTTTTACCAGAAGTTTTGCTCTGTTGCTGCAGATACGGCACTCCCTGCACTGCCCCTTTGTTGCTAGGAGCTAGCACTGCTCCACCCCGTGGGATGTCCTCACATAGCAGCCCTCAGCAGCCCTCTGCAAGGAAATAGCAATTTCCAATCCCTGACCAGTGCTGTTCCCCAGCAGAGGGCACGCCATTCCTACCAACTACAGTTACACTGTTGCTAAGGAAGCCAAACCTCCCCCTGGAAACTATGGGTTGACCCTTGTTGCCAGAGAGGCTCCACCCCCCGGCACCTGCATTGCTAGGCAAGTCGCACGGCCATAGCTGTGGACTCTCTTGTGGCTGAGGAAGTATTGCCCCCGTGTTGCTAGGGAGATGGCACCCCCGGCAACCAGGAGTAGACTGCCCTTGTGTTCCTGACAGCTGCAGTCAGCCTTCCCCCAGGGGCTTGGACTGCGGCTGGGGGAACAGCCTGTTGATGTAAATGATGAACTACTACTCCCTGCTAGGGTTGTCCCCTAGTCGTCACAAACTGCCATTCTGTTGTGGGGGTAGTGACACCCCCACGGGAATTTGTTACCACTGCCCTAATAACCGTGCCCTGACCTCCAGCTGCTAGAGAGAGGATGTCCCCCTAGTAAAGCCAAGCAGGAATTGAAGGTTTTTCTAAATCTGCTCGGTCCTCACTCCTAAAGGATGGCTCCCCTCCTGTCATCAGAGGCCACCAAGGCTTCATATGGGCCAGTGTTTCCCACTGCTGGGGCTGTCGACATGAGTGATGAGGGAGCCACTGTATTGCTAGAGGTGACACTTCTCCAATAATCACTGCGACCAGGAAAAAAGCCCCTTCCTAAAAGCCTTTCTAAACATCCTAGGCATTGTTGCTAAGGAATGCCTTTTCCTTAGCAACAAAGATCATGGGGACCCCACTGGCGCCTGGAACATCTCCCTAGCAACCGTGAAGCACCTTGTTATTAGGGATGATAACCACAACTTCCCTGGCAACTGCAGTGTCCGACAATTTAGAAGGGACCATCCTTGGCGGCTTCTCTGAATATACTGAGTTTGGTTGCTAAAGGACTCATAGCTTAGCAACCATAGCCCTTCAAGGCTTTTCATGGCTGTGGCGGGCCCCATTAGGTACCAAAAGAAGAAGAACCCCATTGTCAGTGAACTGTACCACCCAGCCCACCCACCTTCCTACCCTACAGGCACCCTCTGGGCCACCCTCCCTTGCTGCCCTAGCAAGTCTGACAGCCAGAGGGCCATTGCCTGGCCAGGATCCCTTCCTTAGCATCCGGGGCTGGGACACTAGCAGGCGTCGGGAGGGGGCCTGGCTGAGCTGCATGTCTGTCCCCCACCCTCATCCTCCACCCCCCAGTCCGGAGAAGGCGGCTTCCTTGGAGTATGACTATGAGACCATCCGCAACATCGACTGCTACAGCACAGATTTCTGCGTGCGGGTGCGCGATGGCATGCGGTACTGGAACATGACGGTGCAGTGGTGGCTGGCGCAGTATATCTACAAGAGCGCACCTGCCCGTTCCTATGTCCTGCGGTGAGTGAGCCCGCCCAGTCTCAGGTGACACTGCAGAACTACATCTCCCAGCAGGCCCCAGGGTAGCCTGCAGCGTCCCTGGCTGGGCCCCTGCCCCCGGAGGCTCATGGGAATTGTAGTTTGTTTAGCCTGGTTTTGCCCTGCCTCTAATTATAGTGGCAGCATGCCGGTGTAAAATCGTTCCCCCTCTCGGGGCCTCAGTTGCTACTTCTGTAAAGTCAGCCTCACTCAGCAGAAGCAATGTACTGAGTCCTGTGGACTCAATAGCCAGCCTTCCTGGAATCTTGGCCGTCCAGGTTATGGAGAAACCTTGAGGAGTTAGTTGACCTCTTAGTTGCCTCAAGTGTTGAATGGAGTGAATGCTATTTATTACTGGTTTCATAGGTAGATAGAAGGACTAAATGTGATAAAATGTGAAATGTATTTAATGTGAGGCCTGACAGGTAAGTGCGTGCTGTGTATTCATTTTTATTGTTTTTCATTCTTCCAATATTTCTCGAGTGGAGACTCTGTGCTTGACACTGTTATCTGTGCAGCCTTTAGAAGCAGAAACTCAGCCGGGTGCGGCAGCTCACGCCTGGAATCCCAGCACTTTGGGAGGCCCAAGCAGGTGGATCATGAGGTCAGGAGTTCGAGACCAGCCTGACCAACATGGTGACATGCTGTCTCTACTAAAAATACAAAAAATTACCCTGGTGTGGTGGTGGGCGCCTGTAGTCCCAGCTACTCGGGAGGCTGAGGCAGGAGAATGGCTTGAACCCGGGAGGCAGAGGTTGCAGGGAGCTGGGATCTCGCCACTGCACTCCAGCCTGGGCGACAGCGAGACTCCGTCTCAAAAAAAAAAAAAAAAAAAAAAAAAAAAAAAAAAACAGAAGTAGAACTCATAGCCAGGCATGGTGGCTCACACTTGTAATCCCAGCAGTTTGGGAGGCCCAGGCAGGTGGATCATCTTGAGGTCAGGGCAATATGGTGAAGACCAGCCTGGGCAATATGGAGAAACCCCTTCTCTACTAAAAATACAAAAAATTAGCTAGGCATGGTGGCGGGCGCCTATAATCCCAGCTACTAGGGAGGCTGAGGCAAGAGAATCACTTGAACCCGGGAGGCGGAGGTTGCGGTGAGCCAAGGTCACCTGGGCAACAGAGAGAGACTTTGTCTCAAAATAAAATAAAATAGGCCGGGCACGGTGGCTCATGCCTATAATCCCAGCAATTTGGGAGGCCAAGGTGGGTGGGTCACAAGGTCAGGAGATCAAGACCATCCTGGCTAACACGGTGAAACCCTGTCTCTACTAAAAATACAAAAAATTAGCCGGGTGTGGCGGCGGGTGCATGTAGTCCCAGCTACTGGGGAGGCTGAGGCAGGAGAATGGTGTGAACCCGGGAGACGGAGCTTGCAGTGAGCCGAGATCGCGCCACTGCACTCCAGCCTGGGCAACAGAGCGAGACTCTGTCTCAAAAACAAACAAACAAAAAAACACAAAAAACAAACAAAAATAATTATTAATTTAATTTAATTTAATTAGATAAATGTGGAAGGGGAAGACCCAGGAAGGGTAAGTTTTGGGAGTAAGAAGGATATTATTATTAGTATTAGTATTAGTATTAGTATTAGTATTAGTATTAGTATTAGTATTTTGATGCTCTGTCACCCAGGATGGAGTGCAGTGTTGTGATCTCAGCTCACTGCAACCTCCATCTCCTGGGTTCAAGTGATTCTCGTGCCAAGAGTAGACGCAGGGTTTCACCATGTTGGCCAGGCTGGTCTCGAACTCTTGGCCTCAAGTGATCCGCGTGCCTCGGCCTCCCAACGTGCTGGGATTACAGGCGTGAGTCACCATGCCCGGCCAAAATTTTTTAAGTATTATTATTATTTTTTTTTTACTTTTTAAAAAATGTATAGAGATGAGGTCTCACTGTGTTGACCAGGCTGGTCTCAAACTCCTGGCCCCAAGCAGTCCTCCCATCTCAGCCTCCCAAAGTGCTGAGATTACAAGCATGAGCCACTGCATCTGGCCAGGTATAGATGACGCTTAAAGCTCTGGGGCTGAGGCCAGGTCAAAGCACCCCAGTGTTTAGACAAGTGCTTCTCAACTGGGGGCAACTGTGCTGCTGCTGCACCCCCAGGAGACACATGGCAATCCCTGGAGACATGTTGTTGTAACTGGAAGGTGCTAGTCGGATGTCGTGGGTGGGGGCCAGGGATGCTCCTAAACACCTTAAAATGCACAGGATCCATCGTTTTTGTTTATTTTACAGCTCAAGTGCAGTGGCGTGATCTCGGCTCACTGCAACCTCTCCCTCCCAGGTTCAAGCAATCCTCCTGTCTCAGCCCCCCTAGTAGCTGGGATTATAGGCACGTGCTACCATGACAGACTAATCTTTGTATTTTTAGCCTCCCAAAGTGCTGGGATTACAGGTGCCAGCCATTGCACCCAGCCTCCGCACTCTTGAAGAACCAGAAAGCCAATGGTCCTCCCTTCTCAAGAAAACAAGAGTTGGCCAGGTGCAATGGCTGACATCTGTAATTCCAGTATTTTGGGAGGCCAAGGTGAGAGGATCACTTAAGCTCAGGAGTTCGAGACCAGCCAGGTCAACATAGCAAGACTCCATCTTTACAAAGAAAAAAAAAGAGGCTGGGCGCGGTGGCTCAGACCTGTAATCCCAGCACTTTGGGAGGCCAAGGTGGGTGGATCACAAGGTCAGGAGATCGAGACCATCCTGGCCAACGTGGTGAAACCCCATCTCTACTAAAAATACAAAAATGGCTGGGTGCAGTGGCTCACGCCTGTAATCCCAGCACTTTGGTAGGCCACGGCGGGTGGATCACAAGGTCAAGAGATTGAGAGCATCCTGGCCAACATGGTGAAACCCCGTCTTTACCAGAAATACAAAAATTAGCCTGGCATGGTGGTGGGCACCTGTAGTCCCAGCTGCTCGGGAGGCTGAGGCAGGAGAATCACTTGAACCCGGGAGGCAGAGGTTGCAGTGAGCCGAGATTGCGCCACTGCACTCCAGCATGGGCGGCAGAGCGAGACTCCGTCTGAACAACAACAACAAAAAATACAGAAATTAGCTGAGTTTGGTGGCGCTTGCCTGTAATCCCAGCTACTTGGGAGGCTGAGGCATAAGAATCGCTTGAATCCAAGAGGCAGAGGCTGCAGTGAGCCTTGTCGTGTGGCAACAGAGCGAGACTCTGTCTCCAAAAAAATAAAAAGAGTGAGGAAAGATGGTGCTGGGCCTTGGAGGAAGAGGAACATATCTCCTGGGCCCAGAATAAGGAAGGACCACAGGCCAGGGACTTCTGGATCTTCATGAGCCAGGCAGGAGTTGTCAAATGTTAACAGGCATCAGAGTCACTGGAGGACTTGTTAACTTGGAAGACTTCTCCTGGGCCCCACCCCCAGGGCTTCTGGTGCAAAAGGGGTGGGGACAAGGATTTGTATGTCTCACAAGTTCTCAGGTGATGCTGATGCCAGACCTGGGACCCCAGGTTAAGAACCACCGGGCTGCCCGGGTGTGGTGTCTGACACCTGTGATCCCAGCACTTTGGGAGGCCAAGGCGGGCAGATCACGAGGTCAGGAGATCGAGACCATCCTGGCTAACACGGTGAAACCCCGTCTCTACTAAAAATAGAAAAGAAAATTAGCCGGGCGTGGTGGCGGGCGCCTGTAGTCCCAGCTACTCGGGAGGCTGAGGCAGGAGAATGGCGTGAACCTGGGAGGCGGAGCTTGCAGTGAGCCAAGATCGCGCCACTGCACTCTAGCCTGGGCGACAGAGCGAGACTCTGTCTCAAAAAAAAAAAAAAAAAACCACTGGGCTGAAGAATTAAGACTTGTTGGTCCTGGGAGAGGAAGGGCAGTGGAATATAAAATGTTAAATCTTTAAAGAAGAAGAGGGTCTTGATAGGACTGAGTGTGTATGGAAGGCTGCGAGCTCCTGGATCCCTGAAGGAGACAGAGGCCTGTAGCCTCCTCCGCCTTCCGGAGCTAGGGTCATGGGTCTGAGTGGGGAGGGCCTGGGGCCTGGTCTCCTGGATCTGAGGGAGGAGGGAGGTGGGGTCTGGTCTCCTGGATCTGAGGGAGGAGGGAAGTGGGGTCTGGACTCCTGGATCTGAGGGAGGAGGGAGGTGGGGTCTGGTCTCCTGGGTCTGAGGGAGGAGGGACTGGGGCCTGATCTCCTGGGTCTGAGGGAGGAAGGGGTGGGGTCTGGACTCCTGGGTCTGAGGGAGGAGGGGCTGGGCCTGCACTTCTCGGTCTGAGGGAGGAGGGGCTGGGGTCCTGGACTCCTGGATCTGGGGGCAGTGGGCACTGGGGACCTGGACTCGTAGGTCCTGACTCCCAGCCTCCTCCTCAGGAGCGCCTGGACCATGCTGCTGAGCGCCTACTGGCACGGCCTCCACCCGGGCTACTACCTGAGCTTCCTGACCATCCCGCTGTGCCTGGCTGCCGAGGGCCGGCTGGAGTCAGCCCTGCGGGGGCGGCTGAGCCCAGGGGGCCAGAAGGCCTGGGACTGGGTGCACTGGTTCCTGAAGATGCGCGCCTATGACTACATGTGCATGGGCTTCGTGCTGCTCTCCTTGGCCGACACCCTTCGGTACTGGGCCTCCATCTACTTCTGTATCCACTTCCTGGCCCTGGCAGCCCTGGGGCTGGGGCTGGCTTTAGGTGGGGGCAGCCCCAGCCGGCGGAAGGCAGCATCCCAGCCCACCAGCCTTGCCCCAGAGAAGCTCCGGGAGGAGTAAGCTGTCACGACGCTCCCTCTGCCAGCTGGTCCCGGGAATTCTGTGAACCAGGCTGCTGTCTCCTCCCCAGAAAGAGTCCTTACCTTGGAGAGGGTCCTGGAGAGAATTTCCTCTTCCCCAGCTAAATACCCTGCCTGCAACTGAAGCAGACCCGGGGGTGTCCTCCCTGCCCTCTGCCCAGAGGCCACCTCCACTCCTACAAAATCAAAGTATTGTCCAGACAAGAGTCACTGGCCCCTGCTCCAGCTTCTGGGTATCCAGAGAGCACTGCACTTCCCCAAAACGGAAGGGGCCCCTGGGCAGTGGGTTTTGGGCAAATTCCCTTTCTTTGCATCCACAATGTGGGGTCGGAGCTTGGGGGCAGGTCCTGGGAGTGGGAAGCCTCTTCCTTGTGTCTTTCGCTCCACTTTTAGCTCATCGCACCAATATTGCAGACTTGGAAGGAAGCATAAGCTTCCCATTTCACAAAGGGGAAACTGAGGTGCGGGTGCGCGGGCCTGGGGACGGCCGTCCCATGGCTTCCATCTGAGCCACCTCGGGACCCCAGCGCTCCTGGCGCCCTCTTCTCATCGCTTGGCCTATGACAGGTCACCGTGTGTAAATCTTTCCCAATAAAGTGTTGCACAAAGGCATCCTGTCCGTGCAGGTATCTGGGTGATAAACGGTGGGAAGGACTTAGTCCACCAAGTCCCAGGGTGAGGTACAGCCCCCCCGCCCAGCCCAGGAACCAAACTGTCAGGCCCGGGGCACCACGGGGACTTCAGCTCCCAGGAGACCTTTCGCATCAGCGGCCCTGAGAAACCACAGGAAGTGTACCTTACTCCCTCCGGGCCACCTGCTGGCCAGGTACACACCTGCCCCTGGCCCCTCCCTTACCTGGGGCAGTGTCTGCCTGGTGGCCACTAGAGACAGCCCAGCCTGGGCCATGGAAGAAAACCCGACCTTGGAATCAGAAGCCTGGGGCTCCTCTAGGGGGTGGCTGGCCCCCCGGGAGGCCAGAGGAGGTAGGGAATGCCAGGAGAAGCTCAGATCCATCCGACCTTCAGGCTAGGTGGGAGTCCTGCTGGAGGAGGAAAGGGGAGGCCTGGCCTCCTGAGTCTGAGGGCTAAAGAGAGAAGGTTCCACTTCCTGATATTATGGGGGAGAAGGGAACTGGAGGCTGGAACTCCAGGGTCTGAGGAGGAGGAGCCTGGAGAACCAGGCTAGTCTGGGAGGAGGGGAGGGCTAAGGGCTGGGAGTTTGGGTGTCTTGGGAATAGGAGAGGCTGGGTTCCCACACTCCTGAGCTAGAGGGAAAAGGAAGTTGAAGCCTGGACTCCACTGCCCTGGAGTAGGAGGGTTCCACGCTTGGGGATGGAGTTGAGGGCTGTGGACCCCTGGGTCCAGGGGAAGTAGAGGCTGGCACCCGGACTCCTGGGCCTGAGGGAGGAGGGGCTGGGAACCTGGTTTCCTGGTCTGAGGGAGGAGGGGCTGGGTGCCTGGATTCCTATGTCTGAGGGAGGAGGAGCCGGGGGCCTGGACTCCTGGGTCTGAGGGAGGAGGGGCCGGGGGCCTGTTCTCCTGGGTCTGAGGGAGGAGGAGCCGGGGGCCTGGACTCCTGGGTCTGAGGGAGGAGGGGCCGGGGGCCTGTTCTCCTGGGTCTGAGGGAGGAGGGGCCGGGGGCCTGTTCTCCTGGGTCTGAGGGAGGAGGAGCCGGGGGCCTGGACTCCTGGGTCTGAGGGAGGAGGAGCCGGGGGCCTGGACTCCTGGGTCTGAGGGAGGAGGAGCCGGGGGCCTGGACTCCTGGGTCTGAGGGAGGAGGGGCCGGGGACCTGGTTTCCTGGTCTGAGGGAGGAGGAATTAGGGCCCAGACTCCCGGGTCTTCCCAGCCCCCTGCTCCTCCCCAGGCCCATCGCTGTCTTCTGTGCTGAACGAGCTGCCCAGTGCTGCCACCCTTCGGTACCGAGACCCTGGGGTGCTGCCTTGGGGGGCGCTGGAGGAGGAGGAGGAGGATGGAGGAAGGAGCAGAAAGGCCTTCACAGAAGTCACCCAGACAGAGCTGCAGGACCCTCACCCTTCCCGGGAACTGCCCTGGCCCATGCAGGCCAGACGGGCACACAGGTGAGGCCCCACCTCCAGCTGGGACCCGCACAGCCCGGACCGGGCCCTTCTCCCATACCCTGGACTCGGTCTCCTCCCTCTGTCCTCTGCCGCTCCTGGCTTCTGGGGCCTCTCTCTGCCCCGCTCAGAGCTGCCTCTCTTGGTTTCTTTCTTCCCCTCATCTTTGTCTCTACTTCGGACTCCAGGTGAGTGCTGCCTTTCGATGGCTCTGGGGTCTCTTCTCTCTGGGATTTGCCGTCTCCCTGGTCTCCACCAATCCTGTCTCTGCCTCAGTTTCTCTCTGTGTGTGTGTCCAAAATCTGTTAATATTTATTTCTCTCTGCTTTATACCTTCCTTCATCTTTGCCTCCTCTTCCAAGCCTCCCTCTCTTTAACTTCTTTCTTTTCCCATTCTCACTGCATAATTTGCAGGGCCTGGTGAACAATGAAAATGCAGGTGCCCTCCTTCAAAAATGATTATGGGCCCATTGCAGTGGCTCACACCTGTAATCCCAGCACTTTGGGAGGCCCAGGCGAGTGGATCACCTGTGGTCAGGAGTTCAAGACCAGCCTGGCCAACATGGCAAAACCCCAACTCTACTAAAAATACAAACATTAGCTGGGTGTGGTGGCGGGTGCCTGTAATCCCAGCTACTCGGGAGGCTGAAGCAGGAGAATCGCTTGAACCAGGGAGATAGAGGTTGCAGTGAGCCAAGATCGTGCCATTGGACTCCGGCCTGGGTGATAGAGCGGGACTCCATCTCAAATATATATATACGCGTATATACGCGTATATATATACGCATATATGCGTATATATATGCATATGTGTGTATATATATACACATATATATGTATATATATGTGTATATATATGGAAAAAACAATAAAAAATAACAATGTATCAACACTCCCACGCCGATCAGTAGTGGGATCATGCCTGTGAATATAGCCACTATACTGCGGCCTGAGTAACATAGCGAGACCCCCATCTCTATTTTTTAAAAGTAATAATCAAAGTAACAATATGACAAAAAATAATACAAGTTAAAAGAACAGCTATCTATATAACATTTACCTTGTACCGGGTGTTATAAGTAATCTAGAGGTGATTTAAAGTGCATTGGAGGGCTGGGTGTCGTGGCCCATACCTGTAGCCCCAGCGCTTTGGGAGGCTGAGGCGGGAGAATTGCTTGAGCCTGGAAGTTTGAGGCTGCATTGAGCTATGATTGCACCACCGCACTCCAGCCTGGACAACAAAACGAGACATTTGTCTGTAAAAATCAGATAAAAATTAAAATAAAATAAAACAAACACAGGAGGATGTGTGTAGCCTGTATGCAAATACTATACCGTTTTATATAAGGAATTTGGGCATCTACAGATTTCAGTATTCTTGGGGAGTCCTTGAACCAACCCCCATGGATACTGAGGGATGGCTGTATTCATAAAGTGAGAGCCCAGATAAACTCCAGCTAGGGCAAGTGACACGGCATGACAGCACCCTGTGCGTCCCTCCCCTGACACCCCCTTTTTCCTCACAAATACAAGGTAACCTCTTCTCCCTAACCTTTTTTTTTTTTTTTTTGACAGAGTCTTGCTCTGATGCCCAGGCTGGAGTGCAGTGGTGCAGTCTCAGCTCACTGCAGCCTCCGACACCTGGGCTCAAGCGATCCTCCCACTCCAGCCTCCTGCTTTTCTGTAGAGCTTTGCAAGCTGTGCTCTGCAACGTTGTGCAAATAGAATCATACAGTCTTCAGTCTTTTGTGCTGGCTTCTTCTGCCTAGCATTAGGTTTCTTTCTTTTCTTTCTTTCTTTCCTTTCTTGGAATCTCACTCCGTCACCCAGGCTGGAATGCAATGGCGCCATCTCAGCTCACTGCAACCTCCACCTCCCAGGTTCAAGCAATTTTCCTGCCTCAGCCTCTCGTGTAGCTGGGATTACAGGCACCCGCCACCAGGCCCAGCTAATTTTTTTTTTTTTTTGGTATTTTTAGTAGAGACAGGATTTCACCATGTTGGTCAGGCTGGTCTCGAACTCCTGACCTCAGGTGATTCACCCACCTCGGCCTCCCAAAGTGCTGGGATTACAGGCCTGAGCCACTGTACCCAGCTGGTTTCTTTTTTATTGCTACAGAGTATTCTATCTTATGTATAGGCCACAATTTACTTCTCCATTCTACTGTTGGATTGTGTCTACATTCAGATGGTTCCCAGTCTGGGGCTGCGAAACCCCTCATTTTCTGCCTGTTTCCCTCCCAGGCAAAGAAATGCCAGCAGGGACCAGGTGGTCTATGGCTCTGGAACTAAGACGGACCGATGGGCGCGGCTACTTCGGAGGTCCAAGGAGAAAACAAAGGAAGGCTTGCGAAGCCTGCAGCCCTGGGCGTGGACACTGAAGAGGATCGGGGGTGCGGTGGGGTTTGGGTGGTGTCCTGGGGGCAGGGCCTGGACTCCTGGGTCTGAGGGAGGAGGGGCTGGGGACGGACTCCTGGGTTTGAGGGAGGAGGGGCTTGGGCCTGGATTTTTGGGTCTGAGGGAGGAGGGGCTGGGGGTCTGGACTCTTGGGTCTGAGAAAGGCACGGCTGGGCCTGGCGCGGTGGCTCACGCCTGTAATCCCAACAGTTTGGGAGGCCGAGGTGGGTGGATCACCTGAGGTCAAGAATTCGAGACCAGCCTGACCAACATGGTGAAACCCCCGTCTCTACCAAAAATACAAAAACTAGCTGAGCATGGTGGCGCACGCCTGTAATCCCAGCTACTCGTGAGGCTGAGACAGGAGAATTGCTTGAACCCAGGAGGCGGAGGTTGCAGTGAGCCGAGATCGCGCCACTGCACTCCATGCTGGGCGGCAGAGCGAAACTCCGTCTCAAAAAAAAAAAAAGAAAAGAAAAGAAAAGAAAAATATATATATATATATATAGAGAGAGAGAGAGAGAGAAAGAAAGGAAGGAAGGAAGGAAGGAAGGAAGGAAGGAAGGAAGGAAGGAAGGAAGGAAGGAAAGAAAAGAAAGAAAGGAAGAAAGAAAGAAAGAAAGAAAGAAAAGAAAGAAAGAAAGAAAGAAAGAAAGAAAGAAAGAAAGAAAGAAAGAAAGAAAGAAAGAAAGAAAAAGAAAGAAAGAAAAGAAAGAAAGAAAGAAAAGAAAGAAAAGAAAGAAAGAAAGGAAGGCGCGGCTGGACCCCAGTCCAGGGGTAGGAGGGGCTGGTCCTGCTCCCGGGAAGGAACCTGAGCCTCTCTCTGCTGCCCCCTGCAGGCCAGTTTGGCGCCGGCACGGAGTCCTACTTCTCCCTGCTGCGCTTCCTGCTCCTTCTTAACGTGCTGGCCTCTGTGCTCATGGCCTGCATGACGCTGCTGCCCACCTGGTTGGGAGGCGCTCCCCCAGGCCCTCCCGGCCCCGACATCTCCTCGCCCTGCGGCTCCTATAACCCCCACTCCCAGGGCCTGGTCACCTTTGCCACCCAGCTCTTCAACTTGCTCTCGGGTGAGGTAGGTGCCTGGGTCCCTGGGGGATTCCCCGCCCACCTGTGACCCCAGTGCCTTCAATGACACGAACCTCAAACCCTGACCCCAGACCCTGACTGTGCAGCTCCAGGAGCCCCGCCTCCTCCCACAGTGGCCCCTGCGCCGCCTTCCCCCCACAGGGTTACCTGGAATGGTCCCCTCTCTTCTATGGCTTCTACCCGCCCCGCCCACGCCTGGCGGTCACCTACCTGTGCTGGGCCTTTGCCGTTGGCCTCATCTGCCTCCTGCTCATCCTGCATCGGTCAGTGGCACCTGCACCCCTGACCCCTGACGGGACGGGTTGGGGTGGGGGAGCAAGTGGTGGTGGCAGAAACCCCCTCCCCAAGAATCCTCAGTCTTTTTTTTTTTGAGACGGAGTTTTGCTCTTATTGCCCAGGCTAGAGTGTAGTGGCGCAATCTCGGCTCACTGCAACCTCCGCCTTCCGGTTTCAAGCGATTCTCCTGCCTCAGCCTCCCAAGTTGCTGGGATTACAGGCGCCCGCCACCACGCCCAGCTAACTTTTTTGTATTTTTAGTAGAGATGGGGTTTCACCATGTTGGTCAGGCTGGTCTTGAACTGCTGACCTCGTGATCCACCCGCCTCGGCCTCCCACAGTGCTGGGATTACAGGCGTGAGCCACCGCGCCCGGCCCCAGAATCCTCGGTCTTGCTGTGTAACCCTTTATTCTGTGTGAGTTAAAATCAAGGTTTTGGGCCAGGAGCGGTGGCCCAGGAGGCGGAGCTTGCAGTGAGCCGAGTTTGCGCCACTGCACTCCAGCCTGGGCGACAGAGCGAAACTCCATCTAAAAAAAAAAAAAAGATCAAGGTTTTGGGATTTGTTTTTGTTTTTCATTTGTTTTGTTTGTTTGTTTTTGAGACAGAGTCTTACTCTGTCGCCCAGGCTGGAGTGCAATGGCACGATCTTGGCTCACTGCAACCTCCACCTCCCGGGTTCAAGCGATTCTACTGCCTCACCCTCCCAAGTAGCTGGGTTTACAGGCTCCGGCCACCACGCCCAGCTAATTTTTTGTATTTTTAGTAGAGACGGGGTATCGCCATGTTGGCCAGGCTGGTCTCGAACTCCTGATCTCAGGTGATCCACCTGCCTCGGCCTCCCAAAGTGCTGGGATTACAGGTGTGAGCCACCGCACCCAGTCTGTTTTGTTTTTTGAGACAGGGTCTCACTCTGTCACCCGGCTAGCGTGCGGTGGTGCAATCATAGCTCACCGGAAGCCTGGGCCTCCGGAACTCAACTGATCCGCCTACCTCAGCCTCGGGAGCAGCTGGGACCACAGGGGTGCACCACCATGTCTTGCTAAAATTTTTTTTTTAATGTTATAGAGACAGGGTCTTGCTATGTTGCCCAGGCTGCGCTCAAACTCCTAGGCTCAAGAGATCTGCTCACCTCAGCCTCCCAAGGTGCTGGAATTACAGGCATGAGCCAATGTGCCTGGCCAAAAGTCAACTTTTTTTTTTTTTGAGACGGAGTCTCGCTCTGTCACCCAGGCTAGAGTGCAGTGGTGCGATCTCAGCTCACTGCAACCTCCGCCGCCCGGGTTCAAGCAATTTTCCTGCCTCAACCTCCCAAGTAGCTGGGATTACAGGCATGTGCCACCATGCCCGGCTAATTTTGTATTTTTAGTAGAAATGGGGTTTCACCATGTTTGTCAGGCTGGTCTCGAACTCCTGACCTCAGGTGATGCACCCGCCTCGGTCTCCCAAAGTGCTGGGATTACAGGCGTGAGCCACCACGCCCGGCAAAGAGCCTCGATTTTAAGAGAAGGGAAAAGCCCTGGAATAGGTCTTAAACAGGGGAATACGGTCTGAGTTGCATCAAAAGAAGGTCCCACTGGCTCAAGAACTGAGAATGGATTATATGCGGGCACAAGTGGAAGCAAGGAGACCATGTGAGGGCCCTCTGTGGTTGTTCACATGAGAGATGATGGGGGCCGGGGCCAGGGCAGTGAAGGTGCACATGGTCTCTTTGTCCAGTTCTGTTTCTGCCCCTGCTGGGGTTCTCTATCTCCTTCCTGGGTCTTTGCCCCCCTCTCTTGAGTCTCTTTACCTGCCCGTCTTCTCTGGGTCTTTTTTTTTTTTTTTTGGAGGCGACCTCCACCTCCTGGGTTCAAGTGATCCTCCCACCTCAGCCTCCCAAGTAGTTGGGATTACAGGCATGCACCACCACGCCTGGCTAATTTTTGTATTTTTAGTAGAGACGGGGTTTCACCACATTGGCCAGGCTGGTCTCAAACTCCTGACCTCAGGTGATCCTCCCCCCTCGGCCTCCCAAAGTGCTGGGATTACAGGCGTGAGCCATGGCGCCTGGCCTGCCCCCTCTCTTGAGTCTTTACCTGCCATCTTCTCTGGGTCTCTGTCTTCTTCTCGGCTCTTCCCGCCGCAGCTCCCTTCTCTGTGTGCCTGTACTTCTTATGGGTCTTTGACCCCCATCTTTTGTAGATGTAGTTTCCCCTTTCTCACTGTCTTTTTCTCCCTTTCTCCGAATCTCCCTCTGGGGCCTCTGTCCCTCCTCCACATCTCTGTCTTCCTCAGGGCCTCTGTTTCTCTCACTCTGGGTTTCTGCCCCCTTCGCTCCGAGGCTCTGTCCCTGTCTCCTAGGTTTCTGCCTCTCTTTGGGGTGCCTGCACCCCAGAACTGTCTCTGAATCTCCCTTGGACTTTGCCTTCAATGACTGTGTCTCCGCCTCTTTGACTCTTTCCCCATCTGGTCTGGTGGGAACTCGCCTAGTACCCAAGGCCTTAGGGTTCATCTTCCCCATTTGTCCCAATATGAGGGGTCTCCCCATAACCCCCGTTCCTGGCTGTCCTTTCACTTCCCGTCTCCCGGGTCTCCCCTCTCAGCTCGGTGTCTGGGCTGAAGCAGACACTGCTGGCGGAGTCCGAGGCTCTGACCAGCTACAGCCACCGGGTGTTCTCGGCCTGGGACTTCGGTCTCTGCGGGGACGTCCACGTGCGGCTGCGCCAGCGCATCATCTTGTACGAATTAAAGGTGCGATTAGGGAGCGGGGTCTGCAACTGGGTAGGGACCAGACAGGACCGGGCTGAGATAACGCACAGGGCCTAACTCGGTGATGGGGCCTCCGGAGAGATGCTAAGCAGCTCCTTCTCCAAGAAAGGCAGGTCCTGGGGAATGAGAAGGTTGAGAGGAGGCCGAGATAGGGCTGCCCGAGCTCCAAGCGTGTAGGAAAAGGATGCGCCAGGGCTGGGATCGGTGGCTAATGCTTGTAACCCCAGCACTTTGGGAGACCGAGACAGGTGGATCGCTTCAGTCTAGGAGTTCGAGACCAGCCTGGGCAACATAGGGAGGCTCCCTCTCTACCAAAAAAAAAAAAAAAAAGTTTGTTTTTTTTTAAGTAAGCACAAGAAGCGGGCGGGGCCTAAGGCAATTTGGTTCAAAGTTAAGTGATGGGAGCGGCCAGCAGGGCGTCTTGATACAGCTGAACTGGAACTTCAGGCCAGGAATAAAGCGCAGGGCCACCTGGGGGCGGAGCCTCTGATGGGCAGGGCTGACCAGGGGCGGGTCTTGGGATGCTGGGCGGAGCCTCAGGGGCGGGGCCTGGGGTGCTGAGATTGACCGCGGAGGGATGGGGGCTTGGGTTGCTGGATCCGGCCGCGAAGGGGCGGGGCTGTAAAGGGCCGCTGGTTTCCTGGAGCGGGTGGAACCAGGACTGCAGAGGTTGTTAGCGGGTGGGGAGACGGCTGCATCAGTTCACGTTAAGGAGGATCTCTGGAGAGCCAGACCTGGGGAACCGGGAGGCCCGCGCCTTGGGAAATGGAGTCCAAGCGGGCATCTCTCCTGCCTTCAGGTGGAGCTGGAGGAGACAGTGGTGCGGCGCCAGGCTGCGGTGCGGACGCTGGGCCAGCAAGCCAGGGTTTGGTTGGTGCGGGTGCTGCTCAACCTGCTGGTGGTCGCGCTCCTGGGGGCAGCCTTCTATGGCGTCTACTGGGCTACGGGGTGCACCGTGGAGCTGCAGGTGCGGACGGTCTTGGAAGAGGAAGCCAGGGGGTCCTGGAACCTACATTTCCAACGGTGGAGGGAGGGGACGGAAGTTTGGGATGCCAGAGATCTTAGAGAGGAAGTATGGGAGAGGGTATGTTCGGACCCTGGACTTAGGGATTTTAAAGGAAAAAGAGAGGCTGGGCGCGGTGGCTTACACCTGTAATCCCAGCACTTTGGGAGGCTGAGGCGGGCGGATCACGATGTCAGGAGTTCCAGACCAGCCTGACCAACATGGTGAAAAACAGTCTCTACTAAAAATACAAAAATTAGACGGGCGTGGTGGTGGGCGCCTGTAATCCCAGCTACTCAGGAGGCTGAGGCAGGAGAATCACTTGAACCCGGGAGGCAGAGGTTGCAGCGAGCCGAGATCGCACCGCTGCATTCTAGGCTGGGCAACAGAGCGAGACTCTGTCTCAAAAAAAAAAAAAAAAAGAAGAAGAAGAAGAAGAGGCCGGGGGGAGGACCTTAAGCTTGGCTCCTCCAGGACCCCAAGCCTCTACTCATGGTCCATCCCGCTCCCAGGAGATGCCCCTTGTCCAGGAGTTGCCACTGCTGAAGCTTGGGGTGAATTACCTTCCGTCCATCTTCATCGCTGGGGTCAATTTTGTGCTGCCGCCCGTGTTCAAGCTCATTGCTCCACTGGAGGGCTACACTCGGAGTCGCCAGATCGTTTTTATCCTGCTCAGGTTCCAGCCTCACGGGGATGGCTGGGAATGATGAAGGGTGGGGGCGGTCAGAGGGATGTTGGCGCTGACAGGTAAGACACGGAAATCCTGCTGATACCGAATCCAGGGATTCAAATCCTGACTCTGTTGGCCAGGTGCAGTGGCTCACACCTGTAATCCCAGCACTTTGGGAGGCCGAGGCTGAGGTCAGGAGTTCGAGACCAGCCTGACAAACATGATGAAACCCCGTCTGTAGTAAAAATACGAATATTAGCCCGGCGGTAGTGGCTTCTGTAGTCCCAGCTACTCGGGAGGCTGAGGCAGGAGAATGGCTCGAGCCTGGGAGGTGGAGGTTGCAGTGAGCTGAGATCGCGCCACTGCACTCCAGTCCGGGTGACAGAGTGAGACCCTGTCTCAAAAAAAAAAAAAAAAAAAGAAAGAAAGAAAGAAAGAAATCCTGATTCTGTCACTGGGCCTCAGCTTCATCTGTGAGATGGGTTGAATGCGGGCGCGTTCCACTGAGAAGGGAACTGCCACATGGTGGGTACCGGGTCAGGGCCCATTCTCTGCCTTCCCCCCTTCAGGACCGTGTTTCTTCGCCTCGCCTCCCTGGTGGTCCTGCTCTTCTCTCTCTGGAATCAGATCACTTGTGGGGGCGACTCCGAGGCTGAGGACTGCAAAACCTGTGGCTACAATTACAAACAACTTCCGGTGAGAACGGCATGGGTGTGCGTGGGACTCTTGGGTCCCTGAAGGAAAGATGGAGCTGGGTGGGTCCAGACTCTTGGTTTGGGCGGAGAGGGGAGCTTGGGGTGCTGGAACACTCTCCCAAGGGTATGAAAGTTTGAAAAACGAGGACCCCCAGAGAAAGTATTGACAGGGTCTCATAGGCTTGCGATGTGGAGACTCGGACGCGTGGGCCTCCAGGTGCCCGGGTCCCGAGTTCTTTCTGATATATTTCTTCCTTCTTCAGTGCTGGGAGACTGTCCTGGGCCAGGAAATGTACAAACTTCTGCTCTTTGATCTGCTGACTGTCTTGGCAGTCGCGCTGCTCATCCAGTTTCCTAGAAAGTGAGAGCCCCGCCCCTTGCTGTGGCCCCGCCCCTCTAGGACGAGGCCGTGCCCCATCGCGCTGTTCTTTTCACCGCGCACCTTTTTACCATTCCCGCCTCTGCCTGCTCCCTTTGCTTGCCCTAGGTCCGCAGATCTCCCCGCTCCCCGCCCTTGTTTTAGTGGGTTACTTCCCTCTGGCCCCGACGGCGGCGACATCTGGGTCCCTTCTAGTCCTCAGGACCCGCCCTCTGGACACACCCCCTCCACGTGGAGTCCTGAAAGTCCCGCCCCCCCCCCCCCAACCAATACGCATGCTTCCTATTGGCGGGCGGGGCGGTGGAGGCGGGGAAACTCCAGGCCGCCACTCCCCTGACTCCGGCCCGGCCCCGCCCCGTCCTTCAGGCTCCTCTGTGGCCTCTGTCCTGGGGCGCTGGGTCGTCTGGCGGGGACCCAGGAGTTCCAGGTGCCCGACGAGGTGCTGGGGCTCATCTACGCGCAGACGGTGGTCTGGGTGGGGAGTTTTTTCTGCCCTTTACTGCCCCTGCTTAACACGGTCAAGTTCCTGCTGCTTTTCTACCTGAAGAAGGTAAGGGGTAGGGGGGACCCTTGGGTCTGAGGCAGGAGGTATTGGGGCCCGCACTCCTGGGTCAAGGGCAAGGAAGATCCTGGGGGCCTGGATTACTCGGTCCTGAGAGAGGAGGGGGTTGGAGGACAGACTACTGCATCTGAGAGGAGGGGTCTAGGGCATTCTGACTTATATGTCTGAGGATCTGGGGACTCAGACTCCGGGGTCCTAGATGAGGAAGGGGCTCAGACTCCTGGTTCGGAAAAAAGGAGAGGCAGGTAGGCCGGGTGCAGTGGCTCACGCCTGTAATCCCAGCACTTCGGGAGACTAAGGCGGGTGGATCACCTGAGGTCAGGAGTTTGAGACCAGCCTGGCTAACATGGCAAAACCCCGTCTCTACTAAAAATACAAAAAAAATTAGCCGGGCTTAGTGGCAGGCGCCTGTAATCCCAGCTACTCAGGAGGCTGAGGCAGGGGAATTGCTTGAACCAGGGAGGTGAAGGTCGAAGTGAGCCAAGATCGTGCCACTGCACTCCAGCCTGGGCGACAGAGCGAGACTCCGTCTCAAAAAGAGAAAACAAACAAACAACAACAACAGCAAAACAAATTAGCCGGGAGTGGTGGTGCACACCTGTAATCCCAGCTACTCGGGAGGCTGAGACACGAGAATAGCTTGAACCCGGGAGGGGAGGCTGCAGTGAGAGCCACTGCACTCCAGCCTGGGCGACAGAGCGAGACTCTGTCTCAAAAAAAAAAGCCTGGGCGACAGAGCGAGACTCTGTCTCAAAAAAAAAAAAAAAAAAAATGGAGGCACAGACTCTTGTGTTTCAGAGCCCTTTTCTCCGTGCCTTCCCCCACCAGCTTACCCTCTTCTCCACCTGCTCCCCGGCTGCCCGCACCTTCCGGGCCTCCGCGGCGAATTTCTTTTTCCCCTTGGTCCTTCTCCTGGGTCTGGCCATCTCCAGCGTTCCCCTGCTTTACAGCATCTTCCTGTAAGTGCGAGAGGCTCCCGCCTCTCTCCCTCCCTCTCTCCCCATTCAGTGTTCAGACTCCTGGCACTATGTGAGCCCAGCCTGTCTTGACTTCAGGATCCCGCCTTCTAAGCTTTGTGGTCCATTCCGGGGGCAGTCGTCCATCTGGGCCCAGATCCCTGAGTCTATTTCCAGCCTCCCTGAGACCACCCAGAATTTCCTCTTCTTCCTGGGGACCCAGGCTTTTGCTGTGCCCCTTCTGCTGATCTCCAGGTGAGACGGCCCAGACTTCTGGGTCTGGGTTTGAATGCGTGTGATCTGGGGGCCACCACCTGCGTCCAAGAGAGGAGAGGCTTGGGCGTGGGAGCAGGCAACGTACTGAGTCTGAGGGAGGAGGCCTAGGCTCCTGGACTGCTGGGTCCGAAGGAGGAGGTGGGCGGGACGTAGGACTCCTGGATCTGAAGGCGGAGGGGCTGGGAGACTGAACTCCTTGAGCCCAGACGAGGAGGGGCTTAGGCGTCCACATCCCTGGCTTCGAAGGAGCCAGACGTTTGGATATAATGGAAGAGCGTGTCAGGAGTGGCTTCCGTTCCTGTCTCCTTCAGCATCCTGATGGCGTACACTGTGGCTCTGGCTAACTCCTACGGACGCCTCATCTCTGAGCTCAAACGTCAGAGACAGACGGTGAGCCAGGCGGGTCCCTGAGAGGGCCCCTGGGGAACATGGAAAGGGGTTGGGGAAGAGGATTGTCTCACCTCCACCTCTCTTTGCCCCAGGAGGCGCAGAATAAAGTCTTCCTGGCACGGCGCGCTGTGGCGCTGACCTCCACCAAACCGGCTCTTTGACCCCCGCAGCCCACGTCCCGCTTTCAGACCCCAGGCCCATTGTAAGCCTAGGTCACAACATCTGTAAACTAGGAGAACTGGAGAAGACTCCACGCCCTTCCAGCTTTGGTATCTGGAGATTTCCAGGGCCCCTCGCCGCCACGTCCCTGACTCTCGGGTGATCTTCCTTGTATCAATAAATACAGCCGAGGTTGCTGAGCGCGCTTTGAAATCTGCGTCCTGAAGGTGGGGGCAGGGCTACAGCGGGGCAGGAGCCAATCAAATGTACGGGCATGTTTGTCGGTGCAGAGCGCTCTTCCGCAAGGAGACTTGTCGGTCATGTCGGCCAATCGACGGCCGCATCTGGTAGCATCAGGGGCGGGCCAACTTATGATTGGTTCAGATCTGTGACAAGAGGCGGTTGCTAGGGGATACCACGAGCCGAACGCCTAGCATTCGCTGTGATAAAGGGCGTCTCAGCCAATCACCTGTCGCTACAGGCCAGGGGGCCGTACCAACTAATTCGGAACCAATCCGCGGTCGAAGTAGGGACAAGAAAAAGGGGGGCATCCTCTCGCCAATCGGAAGTGCAAAGAGGCGGGCGTGCCAGTCCCTGGACAGCTACGACGCCATGAATATCTTGCCCAAGAAGAGCTGGCACGTCCGGAACAAGGACAATGTCGCCCGCGTGCGGCGTGACGAGGCCCAGGCCCGGGAGGAGGAGAAGGAGCGTGAGCGGAGGGTGCTGCTGGCTCAGCAAGAGGTAAGCTCGGAAGCCGGCAGGGCGGCGCTCCGGGGCCCAGCGCGCAGGCGCCGCGGTTGGGGGCCGGAAGCGGAGGCGTTGCGCAGGCTCAATGTGCCCCGTGTGAAATTCGGGACCAGGCGCCGATCCCACTTTCGAGGACGTTGCCCCGCAAACCTTGTGCCCACTTCCACGAAACCTTCCTTGATCTCGCCCTCGTCTTAGTTTTTCCCCCACTGATGTATTTCACATGGCTGGAACAGTGTCTAGCACAAAAGAGAAGCTTAACATTTAATGAATCCGTGAACCCTTGGACAGTTCAAGGAAATTCGGATCACTTTTTAGTTTGCCTGCACAGCCTATTTATTGAGCATCTACTGTATGCTAACTACATGCCGTGCACCTGACTTGCGGAATCCCCAATAAGCACTGTTCGTTCTTAGAGGGGCACTGTCATCTCTGTTGCACGAAGTGAGATGGCTTCAGTGAGGGGAAGGCACATTTTAAGGAGAGGCGGACAGCCAGGCTCCACGCCATCGGGCGAGCCCTTTCGTGCACCGCCCCCTAGACACATACACACAAACACGGGCTTTCCGTATGGCTCTTTAAATCTGTTTGGTGTACACCCAACTTTCATTTCCTTAGCTAGTCTGATCCTCCGCCGTGGGTGGGAGGTAGTCTAGGTTTTTAGAATCTCAGTAGGCTGCTGAGCGCTGTTTGAAATCCGCGTCCTGAAGGCAGGGGACAGGGCTTCAGCAGACTTGGGGTAGTCACTTGGAGCCATGGCTAGAATTCAGATCGTCTGGCCTAATGCATACCTTTATGGCTGTTTTAATTGTCTCACTTGAGGTTAGGAACCCCTTTGGTTTAGGCCAGGGACCTCCTCCCATACATCCTTGATGACCCGTGGTTTACTATTTGAAAGGGAGTTTACAAAACCCAGGCGTTGCCTCATCTGCCTACCCTCACCCCCAGCTAGGACAGGTGCCTCTTTTAGGCGCCTAGTGCTCCCTTTCTCATAACCCCAGCACCCTGGACTGCCATTTTCTGTGGTGGGCACCAGACTCACAGTTCTTGAATTACCTCTAGGTTCTGAATGTCCTGCCTATAACTTTCTCCCCAGGCCCGTACAGAATTCCTACGGAAGAAAGCCAGACATCAGAACTCACTGCCTGAGCTTGAAGCAGCAGAGGCGGGAGCCCCAGGTTCTGGCCCTGTGGACCTGTTTCGGGAGCTGCTGGAGGAAGGGAAAGGAGTGATCAGAGGCAATAAAGAGTACGAGGAAGAAAAGCGACAGGAGAAAGTAAGCTGGCCTCACCCACTTCATCAGAGGGGCCATGAATCGAGTTGGAGGGAGGGGGCACTTTAGCCATTGGTTGTGACCAAGGTCAAACAAGAGTGAACACACAGAATTTAGGACCATACCAAGGCATGACACTCAAAAAGCGTTGGCTATTGCCGTCTGGGCGCCCACAGGGGTTGGAGGTAGATGCTAGAGGTCCCCAGCTGCTGGGCAAACCGCTCAGTTCTCCAAACTGGAGGAGTCTCAAACCTGATGGGCTTTTAAAAATTTAAATCAGCCGGCTGTGGCTCACGCCTGTAATCCCACCACCTTGGGAGGCTGAGGCGGGTGGATCACCTGAGGTCAGGAGTTCAAGACCAGCCTGGTCAACATGGTATCTCTAAAAATACAAAAAAAATTAGCCGGGCATGGTGGTGCGCGCCTGTAATCCCAGGGAAGCTGAAGCAGGAGAATCGCTTGACCCAGGAGGTGGAAGCTGCAGTAAGCCGAGATTGCGCCACTGCACTCCAGCCTGGGTGACAGAGCGAGACCCCATCTCAAAACAATCAAACAAAAAGTGAATCAATCGCCTCTTGCTTTTTGGCTAAGATCAAGTGTAAAAGGTACATCAGTGGCTGTGCATGGTGGCTCACGCCTGTAATCCCAGCACTTTGGGAGGCCAACGTGGGTGGATCACCTGAGGTCAGAAGTTCAAGACCAGCCTGGCCAAACATGGCAAAACCCCGTCTCTACTAAAAATACAAAAATTAGCTGGGCATGGTGGTGTGTGCCTGTAATCCCAGCTACTCGGGGGGCTGAGGTAGGAGGATTGCTTGAACCTGGGAAGCAGAGGTTGCAGTGAGCCGAGATCGTGCCACTGCACTCGAGTCTGGGCAACAGAGCGAGACTCCATCTCAAAAAAAAGAGGTACATCAGCTCTTGTCATTTATCTGCTGTCTCTGGACTTGCTGACCCCACCCATCGCTCCTCTGCTTTGCTTGATCCCTTCAGGCTTCTCTTCAAGTCTCTCTGCAAAGATGCCTGCCTCTGAACACTCAAGTGGCTCCACTTGTCCCCTCCTTCCCCTGCTGTTACTGTACCTGCTACTGTCCCCCCAGGGGGAGCTTTGCCTCTGTTTGTCTTCCATCCCCAGCACCTGGTCCAACTGGTTCATAACAAGCCTTAGATACCTGTTCGCTTAGATACCTGTGTCAGGGAGACACACCTGACACCTTGAAAGATTATATCACATCTCTTGTATTTCCTGGCCCCCTCAGGAGAGGCAAGAGAAAGCTCTGGGCATCCTGACATACCTGGGCCAGAGTGCAGCGGAGGCACAGACTCAACCCCCTTGGTACCAGCTACCCCCAGGGCGAGGGGGCCCCCCGCCCGGCCCAGCCCCAGATGAGAAGATCAAGAGCCGTCTGGACCCTCTGCGGGAGATGCAGAAGCATCTGGGGAAGAAGAGACAGCACGGCGGTGATGAAGGCAGTCGCAGCAGAAAGGAAAAGGAGGGGTCTGAGAAGCAGCGACCCAAGGAGTAAGAAGACCCCACCTCGGCAGACCAGGGCCCAGACCTTCAGGGCTTGGCAGCAGCCCAGCATGGGCACTGCAGCGTCTCTGGTCAGGACAGCCAGGGACTCCGTGAAGGGCTGGCTAGGTGGAGAAGTGGTTCTCAGCATGTGGTCCAGGGAGCCCTAGGGGTCCTGACACCCTTTCCCGGGGTGCTGTGGTGTCAAGCCTATTTTCCTGACACTGGTGGACTTTTCCACTCGTGTTCTCAGGCATGTAGTGCAGGTTTCCAGAGGCTGTGTGATGGGGAGACACCCTCACTCTGATGGCCAATGGCAGATGCTTGTGTCCAAACTTTCTTAGTTTTCACTAATGATTTGCAGCATATTAAGAGAACCCATTTAAACAAAAGCTCTTGGGGTCCTTGGTTTTTAAGAGTATAAAGGGGTCCTGAGACCAAAGAGTTTGAGAGCTGCTGGGTTAGAGAGTAAAAGCAGGCTTCTGTCTCCAGGATGCTGCACCCCTGGTCTAGAGGGGGTACACTGCCTGTAGTCTTCTTTCCTCTAGAAAGGGAAACTGAGGGCCAGGGGGCTGCTAAGTGTGCTTTCTTGACCTGGAGAAGCATCAGATTTTAAAGACTGGGGAGGACCAAAGCCCACAGAAGGGAAGGCCAGAGACGTGCCCATGGCGTCCCAGCACCAAGTGGCTGCTTCCAGCAGGCCTAAGGAGCTGAGGCTGGGGTGTGCTGGATGCAGCGGGGCTTCCAGGCGGCAGCTCCCTCTATGGGAGAGGTTGGGGGAATGGCCTCCTAGGGGCTACCAGCTTTCTGACCTCACTCCTCTCCCCACAGGCCTCCATCCCTGGACCAGCTTCGAGCTGAACGTCTGCGGAGGGAAGCAGCTGAGAGGTCTCGGGCAGAGGCCCTGCTGGCCCGGGTCCAAGGCCGGGCACTACAGGAGGGTCAGCCGGAAGAAGACGAGACGGATGACCGGCGGCGGCGGTACAACTCCCAATTCAACCCCCAGCTGGCCCGGCGCCCCCGCCAGCAGGACCCTCACCTTACTCACTGACTCCTGAGGGGGTACAGGAGAGGCCGCTGCTGCCAGCCGTCATATAAAACTATTTATTCATAAATATTTTCCAAAATGAAAATAGGTTTACCAAAAAATGTCCCTCACTGGGGAGGGGAGGAGGGGGCAGCCCTCGCCCCCGGGCCCCCAGGGTGGGGCTGAGAGGAAAACCTCCCGGCCCCCTCCCTGCTTCCTGGGAGAGGGGGATGCCCCGTGGCTTGGGGCCTCCCTCCAGTCTTCCAGGGCAGGGCCCTCACCTGGGCAGGGGGATCAGCATGCGGGGGAAGGGGGTGGGTAGAGGGAGGGGCCGGTGTCACTGGAGGTCCCGGTCCTCCAGGTAGCGGTACTCAAAGGTGAAGCCTTCCTTCTTCCGCTGGCCCCACTTCTCGTAGTCAAAGTAGATGTAGGTGCCCTGGCCGGGGGAGAAGGCGGTCAGTGAGTGGACGAGGAGGTGGTCTGGGATCTGGGCCGGACCAACAGACAAAGGGGACAATTCTTAGGGCTGTGGATGTGTCAGGCACCGGGCCAGCTGCCCTGCACGCACACACTCTCATCCATCCTCACAAGGTTCTTCTTGGGTAGGAAATGTTATCATGCCACTTCAGCGAGGAGGAAACGGAGGGGGCCGCAGAGGTTCCACCGAAGCCAGCTGCCAGAACGGGGCCCCAGCCCCAGGTGTGAGTGCACAGCCTTCGTTTCCTCGAGGGCTGTGGCTTTTGAGCACCTCTCACGTGAGTACAGGATGCACAGCCTAGCATTTAATCTTCACAAAGACCTCGAGGCAGTGGGTACTGTCACCCTTGTTCTAGAGAATGGAACAGTCTCAGAGTCTAAATCCAAGCACTCTGCAGGGACATTTTATTGGTGACGGAAGTGGTGTGGGAATTTCTGAATGACTGGATGCCCTGAAATGTACTAACTTGGAGGATGGTTTTGGGCCAAACCAGGAAAGGACAGGAAGTCTGTGGTTAACATCTGAGGACACAATGGGAGAGGACCTAGGTTCTAAATGAATGTCTTAAGTGCTTCAAAGATGGCAACCTGGGAGAACCAGGAGAGGGGACTGAGTTCTCTGAGGACAAGGACCTTGTACTACTTCATCCCCATGAAGGGGCTCGGCATCAGGGAAGTATTTGGTGGAAAAAAACATCACTGTAGAACACACCAACTGAAAGTAATTTGAAAAAAAAAATCCATGACACTGACTATGTAGCAGTCACCATTAAGTACTTACATGTTATTAACTCATTTAATCTTCATAACAACTGCATTAGGTAGGTGGTCTTCCCCCCATTTTTACAGATAAGTTAATTGAGACACAGAGGTTCGAGTGACTTGCCTAGAGTCGCCCAGCTGGACTGGGCTGAAACCCAGGTAGGTTGGTTCCAGAGTGTTTGCAAGCAGCAGGAATTTCCCAGTATTAGAACTTGAGAAGCCCATTCAAAAAAAATAGTTTCGGCACTGAGCCCCTGCCCTGCTGAGTGCTGGGACCTGGAGGTGAAGTGGGGGCCATCAAGGTCCCTCGGCAGCAGAGCCCACAGCCTGGTGCAGGGACACATACTGGGAAAATCCCACACCCCAAGCGAGTGTGCCCAGCACTGCAAAGGGGAGGCACTGGGCTGGGTGGCTCCAGGAAGGTTTCTTTGAGGAAGGGACATTTGGGCTGAGACCTACAGGAGGCCTAGGAGCTGGCCAAGTGGAGGATGAGAGGGCGGTGTTCCAGGCTGAGCAGACAGCCAGAGGGAGGAGTACTTGGTCAGGCTGAGGGACTGCGCCAGCTGAAAGGTGGAGGCAAGGGAGCAGAGGCCAGCAGGGGCTGCCTGGAGCCTGGGGACTCTACCCCAACCCTAGCAGCGGGAAGAGAGGGGGCGGGGCCCTCACCTGCTCAAACTCGTCAGTGATGGTCTTGGGCTCCTCGTGCCTCTGGAACCACATCATGTACTTGGTGTGGAATCGCCATGACTGCTTCTTTAGGGCCTTGGCTGCCAGATACTGTGCCTTAGTGCCCTGGGGGAGGAACAGTGGAGAGGGGGATCAGGGGGCCCCCAAACTGGGTGGGGAGCCAGGGGAATGGGGCAGGACATCAGGGCTGAACCCCGGCCCCCGCCACAGACCACAGTTGGGCTGGACAATCCTCTTGGAGATGGGGCTGGGGGCACAGAACATACCAATGCTGATCAGGAGAAGGAAAATGAGACAGGAGGTGAAAATTGCTTTCAGAGAAGCTTTGAGAAGGAAGAAAAACTAATGTGTGATGAGAGCTGAGAGAGGAGGCAATTTAGAAAATTTCCCAAGTGGGGATGAGGGTGGAGGTCACTCATGACTCACTGGGGTTGGGAGGGGGCTGGACAGCTCCCCAGTGGTCTCCAGGGAGGCCTGAGAATGTGCCGATGAGCAGAGTGGGGTCGGCCTAGACTGGGGCTGCTGGAGCAGGGCTGGGGAGGGGCCGCGGGTGAGCCAGTGGGCAACTGGAAGCGGGGCTGAGGTGTGCCTCAGTGGACCAGCCTCGCTGTCAACCCAAGCAGTTCTAACATCTCTGGGCTGGAAGGCGGGGACGGGGACAGGTGGATTTGGGGCAGGGGCCCAGGAGTGGGAATAGGGAGGGGGTGCGGTCCCAGTGGCCGCAGTGGGGCACCCACCTCACCCCTCCAGCCCGAGGGGGGACGGCGGCGGTGGCGGCGAAGCCGGGGGGCCCGAGGCTGCCCCGGGGGCCCTGCTGTACCTCCAGATAGTAGAAGATGAAGAAGAGTGTCTCGGTCGACAGGCGCTGGTAGAATTCCACAGTGTCCGAGTGTGGGGGTGGCATCTGGTGGTGGTAGGGGGGCGTCGGACAGGGGTTCCGGGGGAGGTACTGCCTGTGAGAGCAACAGGAAGGTCAGTGCCAGCTGCCTACTAGTCCTGTCGTGATCAAAAGGGTGCTCAGACATGCATCCCTGCGGGGGGAGGTGGTACAGAAAGACCCAGGGCGGTGCTGACCTTCAGTGGAGAGCCCAAGTCAGGGGCCTGGTGCTCTACCCACAGCCTCACAGGTTCAGCCACTGCCTCCTCCGTAAGACTCAAGTCCCAGACCATCCCCCTTCCCTGTGGCCCCTCACCGAATACGCTCAGAGTCAGAGGGGTGAGGCATGTGGTGCCAGGCGGCCTCTTCCATGGCCTGCTGATAGAGCTGCTCCTTGGTGAGGGGCACAGGGCCCAGTGGACAGACACCCAGCGACAGCGGTATGTTCACCTCTGACAGCTGCAGGGGCGGCTGGGCTGAGGCCGGAGGTGCTGATGTACTGCTCAGGATGATGTCTGTGGGGAGGGTGGGGGTCCGGCCCCCTCAGTGGTGAGGATGGGTCAGGGGCAGCCCCTCCTCTTTGGCCCGCTGCTTCCCCACCATCCTGGGTCCCTCACCTCGCTCGGTCAGGTGCAGCGTTGGCACAGGGTCCTCAATGCCAGAGCTGATGGCTGCCCGTTCCGCCATGGACTTCAAGGAGCTCAGAGGCTCAGGGGCCTGGGGAGGAAACAAGAGGCCTGGCCTGAGCACTTGGGCTGCAGGAGCAAGTGCAGCCTGACACAGGCCCCAGATGCTCTCACCTGCCCTGTTTGGGGGCCGTGGAGGGCCAACGACCCACTCCCCACAATCTACCCATGACAGGTAAAAGCATCAAACTGTAGGGAAACAATCGGAGACCACGACGCATTCATCAGCAGAGGAACGTCTCGTGAGTGGGACTCTGCAGCATGGAATACTACGCCGAGATTTTCAAAATACAAGTTCGTGACATACTACAGAAGTAAACGCCAACCTGCAGAATATGTACAGTGCGCTACCATTTTTGTCAAAGGATGTGCCAATAGTACACGCTCCTTCACTAGGGACACCTACACGCTGGGAGAGCTCCCGCCTGTCTTGAAGGAGGCAGGAGGTCTACATGCTCAGCTGTCTGCCTGTGACTGGCATGGGGTGACTGGAATCGGGGTGGGCCCAGCCCGGCTAGGCTTCAGTCTCCTTGCTGGAAACAGGTAGGTTGGGTCTCCAGCCCCGCAGCCACAGCCTCGTTTCCTATTACAAAGGTTACAGCAGGCTTCTGTTCCCCAAAGTCAGGGCTGGTTCCTCCCATCTCCTCCAGCCACGTGCAGCTGTCCCAAACCCCAGCCCTGTGCTGGACTCTCCACAACGAGTCAGTCGCCAAGGCTTATCCATTCTGTCTCGCTATATCGCCCAGGCAGGTCTCAAACTCCTGGGCTCAAGCTATCCTCCCGCCTCTGCCTCCCTAAGAGCTGGGATTACAGGTGTGAGCCACCACGCCCAGCTATCCGTCCTGCTTCTAAACCCCACTGGATGGCTCCCTTCCCTGTCGTGCCACCATGTCCCACACAGCCCAGGCCTGTCCTCTCCTGCCCAGACCACCCTCCCTCTATCCTGTCCTCACCAGCCCCAGGGGACCTTTCCAATGAAGTCATGTTGTTCCTTCTCTACTCCAAACCTTGCCATGGTTCCCGACCACCCACCCCAGCGATTCATTTTTGTTGTTGGTGGTGTTAAAAGATATGGACCCCTTCTGAAAATCTCAAAGCTGCTGTTTCCCTTTTTCCAGAAAAATGCACGCACTATAAATATCCTGTCCACCTACTTCTAAAATTTGGGCCGGGCACGGTGGCTCACACCTGTAATCCCAGCACTTTGGGAGGTCGAGGTGGGTGGATCACCTGAGGTTCGGAGTTCAAGACCTGCCTGACCAACATGGCAAAACCCCATCTCTATTAAAAATATAAAAATTAGCCTGGCGTGGTGGCAGGCGCCTGTAATCCCAGCTACTCAGTAGGCTGCGGCAGGAGAATCGCTTGAACCCAGGAGGCGGATGTTGCATTCAGCTGAGATTGCACCACTGCACTCCAGCCTGGGTGACAGAGCAAGACTCTGTCTCAAAAAAGAAAAAAAAAAAAAATTAATGCTTCTGTTGGGCCAGAAACTGTTCCAAGAGCTTTATGAGGATGATTTAGTCTTCCAAATAACCCTACATAGTAGGTATAATCGTGACTATTGCCGTTTCCCAGATGAAGGCACAGAAAGGACAATGCCAAGACTTGGACCTGGACAGCCTGGGCGCGCACACTGCCTCCTGGACAGCCTGGGCGCGCACACTGCCTCCTGGACAGCCTGGGCATACACACTGGTCCCCCCATGGAAGCTGCGCTACAGTATACTGGCTCACAAGCCAAGCCCCAGCTCCTGACCCTCGATGATCAGGACCCCACCGTCCTATCCTGCTACACCCACTATCTCAGCCCTGCAGCTGGTGGCACTGTCTCCTGCAGAGTGGACACCTCTCTCCTCTCTGCTGCATCCTGCCCAGCTTCCTAAGCACACAGGCAGATGCATGCTCCTCCTAAAGCACCTCCTGAAGCCCTTCCTGCAGCTGTTAGCCCCCCTGCCTGGTCCAGGTCTCAGCTTAAACATCACCCCCTCTCAGACCTTCCTGGGCCTGTCTCCCAGGTCAGGTCAGATGCCCCTCGGTGGGCCCACCGCAACCTTCCCTGCAGCTGCCCCAGCAGGGAAGCTTCCTAAAGGGTGGAACCAGGCTGCATTCACCCAACCAGTCTTTCTACTTGTGCAGAAAGTACACCAGTCTATGCCTTGTGAGGACAAACGGGGACAGAAACTGAGGGCCTGCGGGGGGGATGAAGATGGAGACCCAGAGAGAGCAAGCAACAAGTGCAACCAAGAGAAAGGAAAAGAGACCCAGAGAAACAGAGCTTTGGAGGGAACAAGAGAGGAGGTATGAGAGCCCCCAGAGATCAAGGTCACGGGGAGGGTGGTACAGAAAGACCTGGAGAAAGAGCAAGTGTGAGAAGGGGACAGAAAGCCAGAGAAAGAGATCCAGAAAGAGGGTGGGGGCAGGGGGTGCAGCTAGAGACCTGGAGGAAAGAAACAACAGAGTCAGGACACAGAGGCTCGGGGGATGTCCGAGGAGCCCACCTTGATTTCTGGGGCGGTGCTGAACTGTGGAGGCCCATTGAGCAGGGCACCGGCTGCCTTGGCATCACTGAAGCTGGGCGTTGGGGAGCTGGGAGGATTCACAGGCAGTGGCACCAGGAGGCTGGGTCCCCCTGAGTTGTTCCCTGAGCCTGGGGCCACGCCCCCAGCCCCCGTTGGGGCTGCCGCACTGGGTTCCTTCCTGGAGAGAGAGCATGGAAGAGGGGGTTGAGAGGAGGGTCCCTGAGGGTGGGATGGGCAGAGAGGCCTGGCTGGAGAGAGGGGAGACTGCACAGATCAGATGGGATCTGAGAGGGGCAGGTGAGGGCAGACAGATGGGAGAAAGAAGTGGTTCTCTGGGCAAACAAAGGCAGAGCCCAATCTTTGGAATGGTTTCTCATCAGCAGAGCAGAGCTGTGGGGGTGGGGGTGAGGATTCTCGGGTGCTCCACCAGGCCACAGGCTGATCAAAACCACTTGCCCTGGGCAGGTGTTCACAGGGCCCACTCCCCCTTGGGCAGGCCAGCTGGAGCTGGGGTGAGGGGGCAGGAAGCAGGCCTTTCCTTTGTGCACACTGATCTTTCTTAGGGCATTCTTCGGGAAACAGGCAGACCCAGTGGAATGGTCTGAGCTAAGATTTGAAGGAGTGGCTGCAGAGGAATAAGGACTTCGGGACAATTCACTTTGAAAAGTGAAACAGTGACCCTCCGGTGGCAGTCAATTGGCCTCAGGCAGGTAACAGAAATGGGGAGGAAAGGGTATGGGGCTCTTGAGAAAACTTCCACTTAGATGAGAACGTATTTTAGAATGTTCTGAAGGGCAAAGCAGGGAGGCTGATGTAGTTTCCTTGCTGGAAAGAAGTGGGGGTGTAACACCCGAGGGAGATGGAGGATAGCGCTTGGCCATTCCCAGCAGCAAGGGCGGGGGGTTCAGAACCCACCGATGCGGGGGTGAGGCGCCTGCGCCTCTCTGTTTCAAAAGGCTGCCATCCCAACCCTGCCGATGGCCGAGACACTCACGAGGTGCTGGGAGGTGGGTTGTGGGGGCCGGAAGGGGGGCCCAAGGCCTGGCTGCTGGCATTGTTGCCCCCACTGCTGCTCAAAGCCACCTCTGCCGGGCTGTCTGCCACAACTGAGCTGTAACCTGGGAACAAAGAGTAAATGGAAAGGGCTGCTGCCTGCTGCCCAGCCCCGCCCACGCCCCCCACCCCGCTGCCTCCTCACTCACTGGTGGCGCCATTCTGCTTGCCAGCCCCTCCACCGGCACTGCTGTTACTACTGCTGCTGCTCCCTCCACCTCCGCTGCCGCCGCCTCCGCCTCCGCTAGGCTGGACGCTGGGGGGCCGGGGCTGGGTCGTGCTGGGCCCACTGGGAGCTGGTGGGGCCACAGCCTGGGCATAGGGAGCAGGGGTGCCCGAGTTGTGGCTGGGAGCTGGACTGGCCTTGGGGCCCAGGGCACTTGGGGGTGCTGCGGGGGCGGGGACCCCATTGTTGCCAGGAGTGGTGCTCAAGGCAGAGGCAGCAGGCGGGGGGCCGGAGGGGTAGGTGGGCGGCACAGCTGGGGACTGAGGGTGCTGGTTGCTGTGGACAGGCTTGGAGCCGTTTTTGGCTGGAGACTGCGGGTGGGAGAGAGCAGAGGGTCAGGACCCAGTGGGCCAGCTGGTCTCCCTCACCACCCCCACCTCAGGCTCCATCTTTGTCCCAGCAGCCTCCTCTCTGGCCTCGCTGCCCCCACCTGCTCCTGCCCTCTTGGGGACCTGGGTGACCTTACTCACCCTCATGGCTTCAATCACCTTCATGCTTAAAACACTCACACTGATTTCCAGCCTGCCCAGCTTCCCAAGTCCTGCCTGGACACCGCCCCATGGACACCCCCACAGGGATCTGACACACAACTTAGGTTGTCAGCCAGAGAAGATCCATCTGTTGGAAGCCAGAGGACTAGTGGGAAACACTTAAGTGTTCTCAATATGAGATTAGCTGGAGCCGCCTAATGTCCAAGAGTAGAAGGAAAAACAGCTGGAAATTGGATAGTAATTCTGAATGTCACCTGAAGGGTCACAGAAGCTACTCACAGGGCTGGAAGTTACCAGCACTCCAGAAAGTGGTGGGAGGGTAAATGTGCTCATGGTATCCCTACCGCAGGCAATCTGTGGACAGCACTCCGGCTGCTGAGCCTAACCACCTCCTGGGCTTCTTTCCAGCCACCCCACAGGCACCTTGCGCTTACCAAGCGCCCAACAGGACTGACTACCCACTTCTCTCCTGGGCATCGCTGCTTGGCAGTGGGGGCCTGGGAAGGTGGCAGAGCCCAGCCTGGCCCCTGGAGTACCTGCCTCAGTGTCTCTCCTCATCACCTCCTGGCCCTGTTGCCCGCCCTCACTACTACCTGCGGGTCCCCTTAGTCTCCACACCAGCCTCCTCAATGCCCACTCAGGGTGTCCCCTTGGAACCATCCATCCCGTTAGCCCACAGAGGGGCCTCAGGCCCATGCTGCTCCTGCCTAACATTGTTCTGTAGCAGCGTTTCCGAAAGCGTGCTCCTGTCCTGGGAGATGTTAAAGGAGTTGAAGAAGCACTGCCCGCCACCGTCTCCTCTCAGAAATTTGCAGTGTGTATTATCAGCACAGCAAAGGCCCCATCGCTTCCTAGGCTTATTGGACTCTGGAGGCCACTCAGGTCCACAAAGCCTGAGCCCCTCAGCCTGACAGTCCCAGTCCCTGTGCTCACAGTTGGGCCCTGGCCCTGCAGACCTGGCCAGACTCATCTCTCCTCACTTCCAAACTTTCTGTCACAACTTGCCCATGTTACTGGCTGCCACCTCTCCCTGCCAGGCAAACTCACCTGACTGTGAAGCCCAGGGCACTCCACAGCAGCATCTCCTGACTGCCTGGCCAGGCCAAGGGTGACCTGTGTGCTACCCCCTTGACCACAGCACCAGTCACCTGTCCACTTGCCCTGCCCACCTGCCCTCAGGGCAGCACTGATTTCTGAGCCACCTGTGTCCACCAGCCCAGCACAGTGGCCGGCGCTCAGGCCTCAAGATGCCTTTGGGAAGCAACAGAGGAGTGAATGGCGTGCCCACCCGGTCCAGGCTCACACCCACCTGGCTGACTTCACTGTCTGTGGAACGTCCCCTCTTCTTATCATCTTCAGAGTTTTCCTGAGGTAGGGGAGGCAGAATAGAAACCTGTGTGACCTCTGGGGCTCTGATGGAGAACCGCCAATCTCTGAATGCCCCGGGGACCTGGGCCCAATTGACTGCCATTGCGGCCCCAGAGCTGGTCAAATGGCTGTCCTTAATCTGCCTGGAGAAACCATCTCAATTCAGGCTCTCCAGTCTTCTTGTTTTCTGGGAGCCAGCACTGACCCACCAGCCTCTTAAGGATCTGGGAACCTGCTCTCCACAGGGAAGCCAACCCTTGGATCCCTGCCCAAGGTGGCCAGCTACCCAGCCTCCTCAGGCAGCCCAGGCACCGGCCCCTCCCACTTCCCAGATCCAGGACCTAAACTGGCGCGGGATGCACCCTATTGCTCTTTATGTCCTTTAGGGACCCAGATATAGGACCTTAGCGTGTGCTCCAAGAGCCTAGACCCTGGATACCTAGATCTGTGTTTCCTCAATTACGCTCCCATAGCCACTTTGGAGTGACCCAGATTTGTCTCCTCGAGTCCTGCCCTGCTGGAAACACAAGGTACTAGTGTCCCGTGGGGCCTCACCGTGGTACAGTTGGCTGGGCTGGGCGGGATGGGAGAGCTGGAGGTGGTTGAGGTGGGCGTGCTGCTGGACTGGTTGAAGATCTCATCCTCCATGTGGCTGTGGCTGGGAGGGGAGGTGGCGACCAGCGCCTGTGCTGTGGGGGCAGAAGAAGGGCATGCTTAGCTGGCTCACACAGCCCATTCTGGGCCCTCACTTCCTGTGCCACGATCAGCCCCAGGGCCTCACGAATGTCCTCGAGGTCCAGGTCATCGTAGAGAAACTCGTTCTCCTCGAAGTCGGGGTCCTGGGATGAGTCAACATAGTACTCAACGTCGTCCTTGATCTTGCGGATGGCGTCAACGAGGATGGAGTCATTGTCCAGCATGCGCAGGATGGTCTCTAGCATGCGCACGTGGTAGCGGTGCTTCTCGATGTGCCGCTTCAAGCCCTCAATCCGGTCCTGCTTCTGCTGGCGAGCCCAGGGCCAGGCTCAGGGGCTGCAGAGCACCTGCTTGGCCCCTCCTGCCCCCACAGAACCTGTCCTCAGTCCCTGACCCCTGTGGAGACCCAAAGCCTCCACGCCATCCCCTTCGGGGTGGGGCAGTATGGGGTCCACCCACCCTCTGAGCCCTGTGGGGACCAATCTTAGCCTTGACATCTTGGGATCCCACTGCTCCCTCCTCTCCCCACACCTTTCTGGCTCCAGGAGTCCTTGGAAACCTCTAAAAGACCCAGAGGTCCTTGTGCCATCCCACGACTTGGCCTCCATCTGCACCTCACCTGACAGCCCAGATTTCTCAACTGAGCCCGCCCACCACTGTGACTGCCTCTGGCATACAGATACCCTCCGACCTGCTCCAGCAGTAACAATGATAACCCCCATTTGTGAGGAGCTTGCTGTTTAGAATTGTGATATCTGTCATCACTAGGCCCCCAACCCTACCCATTTATCCCTGAGAGAGCCCAGATTCCTAAGCCTCGCTCCTGCCCTCCCCTCAAGGCCCCTTTAGGATTTAACATCTTAGCCTTGGTTCCAAATCTCTGCTCTGTTCAAGGACCCATCATCTCCCCGAAAGCCCCTGGTTCCCAAACCCCTCAGAGTCTGACACCCAACCCTGTCATCTTCCACTTCCTGACCCTCTCCCACCCACAGCTTCCCTGAGGACCCGGCTCTCCCCTCCCTGTCTTTCTGGTTTCAGCAAGTCTGTACAGTTTGTATCCCTTTGAACTCATACCCCACAATCCCGGATTTTAGAACCTGGGACCCCAACATCCAGCTTTGTCCCAGACTCCTGTCTTCCTTCAGGCCTGGTTCTCTGCCTTCTCCATGTTCTGCCTTGTCTCTACCCACTGTGCTCTCCCTAGGACCAGGGCCCTCTGGGTGCCAGGAGGCCTCTTGCCATGGGTGTCCTTCAGGTCTCACTTTTACTCTGTGGCCCAAGCTCAACCTGCACTCACCTTCCCCCAAGTCGCTCCTCTTCACAAAGGCCCCACGGTCTACCCAGACACCCAGGGGACCCTGAGATTCTGTCTGACCTCCTTCCTGCCCCACGCGTGCAGCTGCTAAGCCCTCCCAATCCTGTCTCTCAAATCCCTAATCCCGGCTGTTGGCCCTGTCCGCCTGAGGAATCCAGGCCCCAACTCCCAGGAGCATAAATGACTGGCCTCCTGCTGGCCAGCCCATTCCCATGCCCATCCCCATCCCAAAGGTGTCGGGTCTCCCTCACTCACATCCTTGTCGCCCTTCTTCTTGCGTGTCTGCACTGACAGTGACTCCACTTCACTCTCAAACTGGTCCACCTGCATGTTGAGCGTGTCGATGGTATTCTAGGGGAGGGAGAGGAAGAGGAAGCCCATCAGCTAGGGTTCCGCCTACACCCAGGGCTCAGGATCCTCAGAGTTCACCTCCTCTTCTCTACCCCAACTCACCGTGAGCCACTGGCCAACCTCTTCCTTCTCCTTCTGGGCAGGATCTACCTTCTGGGCCAGGCCCAGGCCCTCTTTGCTGTAAGCTTTGGTTTTGGTCTCTCGTTCCACAACTTTGAACCGTTCCATTTGCTGTAGAGAGTGCAGTTGGCAGGGGGGCTCTCAAAGGTGGGAAAGGAGCTGACTAAGGGCCAGCAGACACTCCGACCTGAGCCTCGTGACCCTACTTTCTGAGCTCTGAGTCCGCTGCCTCTTCACTTCCCTTAGGTGCAGAAACCTTACTTCTCTTGAGGACCTCTGGGGTCTGGCCGCTCTGCCTCCGCCCCTTGGGATCTCAAGAATCTGGTGACCTTCCCACCTCTCTGGGACTCAGGCTCTGGGCTCCTACCGTCTCAATGAGCTTGCGGTTGTCTATAAGCTGCCTCTTGTCCTTGATCTCGTTGGACGCTACCCATGTCTTGATTTGGTCCCTCAGCCGCTGCAGATGGGAAAAGCAAGAAAGTCAGACCTCAGGACCCAGGAACTGGGGCCCACAGCTCCTTCTCCCTGGGACCCAGCAGTCCACTCTCCCAGTTCCCTCTACCCTCAGGACAAAGGCGTCCAGGCCCCCAGCCCCCTCACTTGTAGCTTCTTAATCTCCTTCTTTAGGTCAGCCTCATACTTTTCTTTCTGGTTCGCGTTGGCTGCATTGTGGAGCTGAGGGATGGAGAGAATTGAGAAGTCAGTGTGGGAGGGGATGTCCCAGTACCCACTCCAGTGATTCTTCCTTATGCTAGGGACTCGAGGACCCCCCCCAACCCCTACCCCCAATCCATCTTAGAGCTGATTCTCTTAGGTCCTCAGCATCTGCATATGTAGCCCCTCCCGCTGGTCAACACCCAGAGGTCCTGAGCCGCCTTCCTGTGCCCTCCTCTCTGAAGACCCAGATTATTAGGGTCTCAGCCCCTGTACCTTCTGCCAAATATCTTCAAACTGCTCCACGCCCTCGGACACCTTCTTGAGGCAGCGATCAATCTCACCTGGCCAGGGAGGAACAAGGCTGTGAGAATCCTGCCCAGGTGGCAGGTATCTAAAGAGCAGTCCTCAGAAGAGGGAGCATGTGGCTACAGGTGCAGCAGGAAGTCAGTCTAGTACCTTGGAGTTTGCGCTTGTCCGCCATCTTCCCTGCCCTACAGACGCACTCTCTTCATACTCTCTTGGAGACGGACGCTGCTAGGAGAGATTGGAGAGGAATTAACACGTATTCCCTGGCTGGTAAAAACCCAGAGACATGGACCTAGTCAGCATAGTGAGGTAGGTGGGACTGGTAAAGAGAAGAAGCATTTGCTATCTGACAAGAGACCAGCCCCAGTTCTCCTGATGCTCGCTTGACTGCCCAGCATAGTGTCTGGCCAACAGGGGACCCCATAAGTTTGTTGAAACAAGAAAAGTTACATACTTTTTTGTGTGCCTCTGACTCAGGAAGTGGAAAATTCCTAGAGCATGGAGTACCTTCTCCCCAGAATACACTCAAAAAGGTTTTTCAGAGCAGGACAGTCATGCTGCACACAGCTGATGACTGGGATGGAGGCATTAGCCCTGGAAATCACACTTCCTACTCAGAGGGGCTGGGCAGAGGTGGCTAGGAGAGGTCATCCCTCAGACAAGTCAGGAGACAAATGAAACTGGCAGCTCACAGAGAAGGGCGTGTGTGTGTGTGTGTGTGTGTGTGTGTGTGTGTGTGTAAGCTGTAGGTAGGAGAAGAAAGATTGGGGGTGGGGGAAAACGACGGCGAGCAGAGATGCCGAAAGCTGTGAAGAGCTGAACCCGCTCATGCAGACAGGGCTGAATGCCAAGTAGAAGGGACTCAAACCACCAAGACATTTATTCCAGAGCAGGATCCTTAAACCAAAAGGAAATAACACTCCTAACCCAAAGAAGCTAATACCAAGAAGGCTTAGAGATTTGGGGGCAGAAGGCAGTACCCAAGAGAGACCTGGGAGAAGACAGAAATCTTACTAAGATAAGAGGGTGCAAAGGTACCGCAGCTGTGAGGGAGCCGATCTGCACTCATGGAGGAATCCCATAGCAAGTGGATTGGTAATTTAGAGTCAGGGAGACATAGACCATCAGGGCAGGAACCCAAAACTTCAAGAGAGGAGCGTCTTTATTTTAAAGGAAGTTACCTGGAACCCAGAGAAGACTGAGGTCAAAAGGGAGTTCCAAGGAGCTTTAGTCCAAGGGAAGACATACCTTAGGGCCTGACAGCGAGACCAGGGGAGCCCTGGGAAGAGAGGCTTATGCCTCAGAAGAAGACTTCTGAGATACCAGCGGAGATTGCCCTCTTCCCCTCCAGGGAGGGGGCCTACAATGAAAAGCACAGTTCCCTGGGATCCACGGGCCGCTCCCACTCTACGTGTGCAGGGCAGGGAACCCTGGAGTAGTCACTTACTGTAAAGACAGAAACAGCCCCATACTGAGGAACAAGAGCCTCAATACAGAGGGAAGTCACACCAAAAGAGTCCTCACCCACAAAGAAGGGAACATCTGGCAAACAGTGCTATCCAACAGAACTTTGCAATGCTGGAAACACTCTATTTGCGCATATCTGTTGGCCACTGAACATCTGAAATGTGGCAAGTGTAATGGAGGAACTGAATTTTTCATTTTTAACTAGTTACTAATCACCACATGTGACTAGCAGCAACCATATGGGACGGATATGCTTTAGAACAAGAAGCCCATAAAGGACAGGGCTGGTACCTTACCCCCAGGGAGAATTTTCCCAACACCGCAGGGACCCATTCTGGGTGATAATAGGTAGGGGTGCTACCTTACACTTGAGGGAATTTAAATCTCCTCAGTAAAAGGCCCAACCTAAAGAAAGCCGCAGCAGCCCCCGCCCAGGTCAGCTATCACGCCCTACCTGGGGAATCTCTAAGAAGGCAAAGCAACCAACAAAAGGACCCAGGAGAAGGTGCCACAGTGGGGATTCAGGCTGAGGAGGGGAAAGCCCCTTTGACCCAGGGAGCTCACACAAGGCAAGGGCCTGGACACCAGAGCTCAGGTGTGCAGGGATCCTCACCAAAGTCCAACACCCCAACACAGAAAAGCCTCTTACTGCATAGGGGGAACAAGAATGTGAAACGAGAGTTTACACTCCCTCTTTCCATCCCAAGAACCCAACAGAGGGTCATGGGCAGGTGCTCCAGCCCAGAGAGAGAAGAGGTCTCATGGTCTACACCCCTAAACAAGGCAATCAACACCTTAGGCAGGTGACGCCCTCCCTGTGTCTCCACACGGAAAGGACTGGTATCCTAGTGCAGAGGAAGAATACCCACAGAGAGGAGACCACACTGTGGCAGCAAGAGAAGGAAGTCCTGGAGGGGTCACAAGCCAGAAGGAGGGGAACAAGAGCGCTAACCCAGGGAGGTGATGTTTCAGACAGAACAGTGTGACATCGAAGTCGGCTACAGCTGAGACCCAGTGAGGAGGCAGCTCCTCCACAGAGAAGGGGCAAGTGCCAGAGGCCCAGGGTACTTGTCCCCTAGAGAGGCTGGAGCCTTAGCCACAGTAGAGACAACACCTTCCCCGCTAAGAAAATCCTTATATCATGAGGGTATCTGTACCTCTGGTCCCCCCAGCAAAGGACCAGAGAGAAGGGAAGCTGGAGCCTGAGTCTCGAAGCAGAGACGCCGCCAGAGAAGAAAGAGCCCCATTTGCTGTAGTCAGGGGGGCATCCACCAAGATCCTCCAAGGAAGGTGGTGATCGCAGGTCCACTCTCAGGCGTGAAGAACCTGTGCTCCAGCAGCAAAGGCTCTCCAAGAGCACTGAGGAATCTGGGAACCTCGGCCCAGGAGGAGACTTACCCAAGAGGAACACACATCCCCACAGGGAAGGGACCCACAAGGCGGGTGGCGGGGCGGGGGGAGGTGAGCAGGACACCAGCCTCACAGGAGCCAACACGCTAAAATCAGAGCCAAAACCAGTAAAGAAGAGCCCCCCAGACTTCATCTCAGGGAAGATGATACCACCACACAAAGACTCGAGGAGGGAGGGGCAGGAGGTCAGCCCTGGGAAACTAACACCGGGTGGTCCTTAACCTTGGGGGCCGTCATGTGCCCACAGAGTGGTCTTTGTCATGAGGCACCTTTGATCTGGGAGAGCTTCCGCCTCTGCAGCAAGGAGCTCTGAGAAGTGATGTTGAAGGGTGATCCTTAACCCAGGTGGCTGCTGACGTGGCCACACAGAGGCTCTGAGACTCCAGAAGAAGGATGCGTTAGGGCCTGGGGTAGAGGTAGTCATCTCCACTGAGATGCCCCATGCCAAGGGTGGGGGGCTGGAATCTCCCACCTTGGAAAGTCTACACCAGAGAAGTCTCTGGTCCCAGGGACAGGGTCTACAGTGGAGTCTCCCGCTTGAGACTCAGGTATCTTACATCCACACAGCCAGGAAACTATGCCTTACCCCATACAGTGACAAATCAAGAGGGGGTTTTGGAAGCATGAGCCGGGGGCACCTGCATCCGAGAGGGGTCCTCAGCCTTACGGTGGGGACACATGCAGAGGCGTGGACACCTCAAATCCAGAAAAGCAGCCATACCAATACCAAGGATGGCAAGAACCTTATCCCTGGGGGAGGTGACACCAAGAAAGGGTCCTTACCCTGGAGAGAAGGCACAGCCCCAGAGGGAAGAGCCCCCACCTCGCAGTACAGGAACCCGGGTCTAGGAAGCTTCCTACTCTCATGGGGTACCAGCAGCGGGGCCAGAAGGCGAAACCCTTGTTCTCCAACTGCTGACACCCAGCGTAAGGGTAGATGGGAAGTCAACAAACCCACAGTGTGGGATCTGATGCAAATATCAAGGGCAGTGGGCTTCTTGGTCCTTGGAGAGCTGACACCCTAAAGGAGGAGACTGGTGTGAAGATGGAAGAAGCCTCATACTCAGGCAGGGGTGAAGGGAGGGAGGGGAGACATCAAAACCCCTCACCAAAAGGACAGGAGAGCTCACCCCGGGGTGGGTGGCCGCCCTGCACTGAGAGGCAGGGACTGCTCAGAAAGAGGGGCTGGTGCTGCCCGCAGTGGGAGCTCACTAACATGGACAGCGTGGCGGCTTAGTGTCTTTCACCAGGCACCTGAGCGCCAGGGGATCCCAGCAGCCCCCAGCAACAAGACCACAGTGGTCCTGATATCACTGGGAGACGCCCACACCCAGAAGGTCGGAGAGTCACGATGCAGGGGAGTTCAAGGCTGCAAAGCCAGGGGCAGACGCCAGGATCAAAGAAGTGTGAGAGCTGAGACCAGACGTGGGCCACACTGAGGACGGTCCTGTACCCCAGGTGGGGGAAAGCCAAACTCCCCCAAAAAGGCAGGCGCCCAGTGCAGCGGGATGGCGAGGCTGGAGCCACCCAGGGCGCTACTCGCTATGAGAGGGAAGAGCTGCAGACTACAGAGGTGGAAACTTCGGCAAAGGCTCCAACTAACGGGGAGTTTCTCCTCCACTCCTCTCCCAAGAGGCTCCCATCCGATACAGACGGGCAGCTGGAACCTGAGATCCAGGGGAGGCTGCGCTCCCGGGAGCAGTGAGGAGGGATGCGGAGGGCGGCCTCGGTCCTGGGAAGGGTGACTCCCCCACCCAGCTGGGGTCCTCGTCCCGACCACCACCCCCCCTCCCCGCCACCGTCGAGGGAGAAGCCCCGGCGCGGAGGCTGCCCCACAACGCGAAGGACCGAGGCCGAGGGGGGCAGGCACCTGAGCCCCGAGAGGGCGGGCACCTGGGACCAGGGGCGCCTCCATCCTTCCAGCCAGGAGCCAATACCGACGCGGAGAGGGGCGGGCACCTCGCGCCCGGGAGGCTTCGCACCCTCACACCCCTACCGGGGGGCCCGACGCGATGCCACGCGGGGAGGCGGCGGCGGGCGGGGCCCGGGGTCCGGGTCGCGGAAGGACCCCCGGGAGGCGCTGAGGAACGTGAAAGAGGCGCAGGAACGGGAGGGCGAGAGGGAGGGAGCCGCCCCCCGCCGGGAGCCCCGCGCTGCAGAGGCGGCGGCAGGGGGCAGGCGAGGGGAGGCCATGTCGCGACAGACGGCGGTGTCGCCAGGGCGGGAGGCGGCGGGGAGGGCGGCCGATGGCGCCGGGGGGAGGAAGGGAAGGGGTCCGGCCCAGTCGAGCCTGACGCTCTCACCACAGGAGCTGGCGCCGCCGCTGAGGAGCGTATCGCGACAGGCGGGGGAGGCGAGCGCCCGCCGCCTTTTTCTCGCGCCCCGGGCCCGGGCGCTATCGCGATAGCGGCGCGAAGCGGAAGTGGGGTTGGGGGAGTGGGCCCGGGGTTGTTCTGACGACGGGGGTCGGGGCTCAAGGGAGGCCGCGGCGTCTGCCGATGGCTCCGCGGAAGCTGACCGGGCCCGGTCCAAGATGGCGGCGGCGGAGGAGGCCTCCCCTCCTCTCTTCTCGTCTCTGGCGCCGACCCGCCCCCGAGTCCCGAATATAGGCCAGTCATTGCTCCTGCTGAACGTCGCTCCTGACCCTTGGAGGCTTTCTATTGGTTCCTGGCAGGGATGCGCCCTGCCCCCTTTCGCGGATTGGGTGATCGCTCCAAGGCGCGGCGTTCGATTGGCCTCCCGCGCAGGCTGCTAGGATTGGCTCAGGTTTTCCTCCCCGCTCCTCCTCCTCCTCCCGCCTCAGGGCACAACACGCCAGCGCGAGGACCCGAACGTCAATCAAGAGACCTGTGTCGTGCTGATTGGATGTATCCGCCCCCCTCTCTTAAAACAATTGGTCTGGGGGAGGAGCTACGACAGTCCAGGGGCGGGAAGTCGTCCGTCAAGTTTAGAGCTCTTTTTAATTGGTTGCGGGGGCATATTCTGCCTTGAAGTCATTGGTTGGTCCTGGAAGTGGGTGGGGAAAGCGGAGGAAGGCATGGAGTGTGGGCGTTAGGGGCCGCGTACCTAATGGGAGACAGACAGGTGCCTTTAAAGCGGGGGCCGAGCCGAAGTCATCTGCCAATCAAAACAGCCACAGGGCCAAGTGGGAGGAGCTGGGCAAGAAAGTCCACCCCTTTTTCTTCGTTGGCCCTAAAAGTTATCATTCATGCTAGTTTGACCAATAGCGTGGCGAGTGGGCGGTAGCTGCTCGTAGAGCGTGTGAAAGAGGGTGTATGTAGCTGGCAGAAGTGGGACTTGGTCGCAACCGTTGCGTCCCGGCCAGGTAAGCAGCTTCCCTCTCAGCTGCCTCGTCTTTCTCCAAGTGCCTCTATGTTGGCACATCTCTGAAATTCATTATTTGCTGAGTGAAAGAAGAAAGGGACCAGAGACACTGCTTTAAGTCTCTGGCACCGTGCATAGCAGAATTGGTTGGGAAGCGTGAGGCATGGAGTTTTTGTCCTGCCCCTGCCTGGTTAGGCGACCAGATGGTAGGACAGTCATTCTCCTCTGCGTCTCCGCTTCCTTAGTGTGTTGAGGACGCTGCAGAAGGTACAGAGGAGACGGGTGGCTCCCTAATGCCTGCTCGTTTCAGGTCTCAGCTCTGTTGTCTTCTTGGAGAGAAAACTTCCCTGACCTCCCTCCCGGGCGGAGCGCTCCTGCGCGCCTTGTTCGTTAGGATTTATTTTTGTACGTCTACCGTCATTTTCGTAATTATTCGGTTTCCCTGTCTGGATTTTGCATCTCCAGCACTTAGCACGCAGGAAGTAGTCAGTAACCATTTGTCAAAGGAATAGATGAATGAATGTGAGGAATGACTTGTGATTGAAAACTTACTAGACACTGAGACTTCCACGAACTGGGAGGCATTTGCCCAGGGTCACACAACCGAGATGGGAAGCCAGATTCGCCCCTTCCTGTCTAGGTGGTGGAAAGTAAGATAAATCCCAGGGAGAGGTGAACGTGAAGGAGGATGGAGCCGTTCAGCACCACCCGCATCAGAATGGTCTGAGGCAAGGGGGAGGAGGAATGCTTGCGAAAATGCATATTCGTAGGCCCACACACAGACAACGGGAATGAAGCCTAGAGTTATTGTTCTAGAGCTCTGCTATTCAAACTGTGGCCCCTGGACAAAGTATCGCTTCTCAGACATCTCCGGAATCACCTAGGAATGTGTTAAAATGCAAATTCTGCTTTTCTAACAAGTGCCGCAGTCCACGGTCCGCAGTTCACTTTGCACACCGCGGATCTAGCGATGACTTTCCAACTTGGCTGCACATCAGAGTCACCTGAGGAACTTGTTGTTATTGTTGTTGTTGTTGAGACGAAGACTTGCTCTTGTCCCCCAGGCTGGAGAGCAGTGGCACAATCTAGGCTCACTGCAGCCTCTGCCTCCCGGGGTTCAAGTGATTCTCCCGCCTCAGCCTCCCGAGTAGCTGGGATTACAGGCGCCCGCCACCACGCCCGACTAATTTTTGTATTTTTAGTAGAGACGGGGTTTCACCATGTTGGCCAGGCTGGTGTCGAACTCCTGACCTCAGGTGATCCGCTCGCCTCAGTCTCCCAAAGTGCTGGGATTACAGGCGTGACGACTGCGCCTGGCCTACCTGAGGAACTTTAAAAAAAAAAAATTTTTTTTAAATTAGAGGCCAGGCCGGGCCGGGAGAATCACTTGAACCCGGGAGGCAGAGGCTGCAGTGAGCCTAGATTGCGCCATTGCACCTGTAATCCCAGCACTCTCAGAGGCCGAGGTGGGCGGATCACCTGAGGTAGGGAGTTCAAAACCAGCCTGGCCAACATGGTGAAACCCCGTCTCTACTAAAAATACAAAAATTAGCTGGGCATGGTGGCATGTGCCTGTAATCCCAGCTACTCGGGAGGCTGAGGCGGGAGAATCACTTGAACCTGGGAGGCAGAGGTTGCAGTGACCCGAGATTGCGCCATTGCACTCCAGCCTGGGTGACAGAGCAAGACGCCGTCTCAAAAAATAAAAATAAAAAATAAAAAAGTCCAGATACCCAGGCTTACACTGGACCAACTAAAACGATCTTGAGGTGGGAGCCAGTGTCTCTCTCACCCAGGCTGGAGTGCAGGGGCGCCATCTCGGCTCACTGCAACCTCTGCCTCCCAGGTTCAAGCCATTCTCCCACCTCAGCCTCCCAAGTAGCTGGGATTACAGGCGTGAGCCACCGCGCCCAGCGTAAGAGCCGCTTACAGAGTCTTCTTTTCTAGAGCAGTGCTTCTGAAATGTGGCCTTGGGTCAGGCACGTACCCATCACCTGGGAACTTGTTTGAAAGGCACATTTTTGAGCCCCACCCTAGACTGAATCAGAAACTCTGGGCCCAGCAACTATGTTTTAACAAGTCCTCAGTGTAATTCTGAAGCGCATTAAATTCTGAGAACCTCTGTTCTGAAAGTACGAGGGCTGCAGGCCCAGGCGACTCAAGATTCCTTTCCTGAGATTGACACCCTCATGCCACAGCCCCATTGGTAGATGCCGGATATTTTGGCCAAGGGAGATGGGGGATTCTGAACAGGGTTGTGGACCACGGGTCCTTCCCTGGCAGACCAGTATGTAGAGATCAGCAAAGGTTGTCATTTTCAAACAGGGTTGACCCAGAGGGTCAGGGATAACATTGAGAAAACAGACTTGAGTTATACAACCTGGGGTAGTTCAGCCACTCAAGGGAACCTCCTGAGTGTGTCGACTTTTTGACTTGAGGAAGGAGAGAGATTTAGAGATTGCCACTGAGGTCCAGAGACAGAGCTCTGGGTTGAAGGACAGGGATCCAGAGATACACAGAGTGGTGACGGGGAGGCCCAGAGAGGGGAACAGAAAGAGCAAAATCTCAGACAGGACCTAGAAAGTCAGAGGGAGACCCAGATAGCATGAGCTGGAGAGAGGGAGGGAGAGAGAGAGAGGGAAGGTGGAGAGAGGGAGGGAGAGAGGGAAGGTGGAGAGAGGGAGGGAGGGAGGGAGAGAGGGGAGGTGGAGAGAGGGAGGGAGAGGGGAGGAGAGAGGGAAGGTGGAGAGGGAGGGAGAGGGAAGGTGGAGGGAGGGAGAGGGAAGGTGGAGGGAGGGAGAGGGAAGGTGGAGAGAGGGAGGGAGGGAGGGAGAGAGGGAGGGGAGGTGGAGAGAGGGAGGGGAGGTGGAGGGAGGGAGAGGGGAGGAGAGAGAGGGAGAGAGAGGGAAGGTGGAGTGAGGGGAGGTGGAGAGAGGGGAGGTGGAGAGGGAGGGAGAGAGAGAGGGGAGGTGGAGAGAGGGAGGGACAGAGAGAGGGGAGGTGGAGAGAGGGAGGGAGAGAGAGGGGAGGTGGAGAGAGGGAGGGAGAGAGAGGGGAGGTGGAGAGAGGGAGGGACAGAGAGAGGGGAGGTGGAGAGAGGGAGGGACAGAGAGAGGGGAGGTGGAGAGAGGGAGGGACAGAGGGAGGGGAGGTGGAGACAGGGGAGGTGGAGAGAGGGAGGGAGAGAGGGGAGGTGGAGAGGGAGGAAGAGAGAGAGGGGAGGTGGAGAGGGAGGAAGAGAGAGAGGGGAGGTGGAGAGAGGGAGGGAGAGAGAGGGGAGGTGGAGAGAGGGAGGGACAGAGGGAGGGGAGGTGGAGAGAGGGAGGGACAGAGGGAGGGGAGGTGGAGACAGGGGAGGTGGAGAGAGGGAGGGAGAGAGAGAGGGGAGGTGGAGAGAGGGAGGGAGAGAGAGGGGAGGTGGAGAGAGGGAGGGAGAGAGAGGGGAGGTGGAGAGGGAGGAAGAGAGAGAGGGGAGGTGGAGAGAGGGAGGGAGAGAGAGGGGAGGTGGAGAGAAGGAGGGAGAGAGAGAGGAGGTAGAGACCTGGAGGCATCATCTTCCCACCAGGCTGCTGCTTGTCCTGGTAACATCTCTTAGGTAACTAACAGAAGCCCGACCTTGTAGGTCAGGTGACTAGCGCTGCCTCCTTAGTACCACCGTGTAGCCCAGCTCCGGAGCACATAGTAAATGGAACCCCTGGAGTTGCTCTTCCTTAACCTCTCCAGGGAGACGGTTTCATGCCACCCGCTAGGACAGCCCCTGCTGTCCCCTGGAAACTCTCCTGACTGTCTGCAGGCCACATTCCCCTCAGTCCAAGTAAAGGCGCTCCTGGCCGAGCCCCGGTTCCCGAGACTCAGTGACTGGAGGTCAGGGGAGGGGAAGTGTGCTCCTTCTGCTCACCTGGCAGGACTTTTATAGCAACCAGGTCCTACCAGGGCAGGAAGCCTGCCTGCTTCGCCTGTGCCCGGCTCCACACAGTCCCTCAACACTGGTTATAAATAAGAGGCTGGGCCAGGCACAGGGTAATCCCAGCACTTTGGGAGACGAGGCAGGCGGATTATTTGAGGTCAGGAGTTCGAGACCAGCCTGGCCAACATGGTAAAACCCCATCTCGGCCGGGCGCGGTGGGTCACACCTGTAATCCCAGCACTTTGGGAGGCCGAGGCGGGCAGATCACAAGGTCAGCAATTCAAGACCAGCCTGGCCCAAATGGTGAAACCCCGTCTCTGCTAAAAATACAAAATTAGCCAGGCGTGGTGGCGGGCGCCTGTAATCCCAGCTATTCGGGAGGCTGAGGCAGGAGAATCACTTCAACCTGGGAGGCGGAGTTTGCAGTGAGCCAAGACCATGTCATTGCACTCCAGCCTGGGTGACAGAGCAAGACTCCGTCTGAAAAACAAACAAACAAACAAACAAACAAACAAAACCCATGGGCGCCTGTAATCCCAGCTACTCAGGAGACTGAGGCAGGAGAATCACCTGGACCCGGGAGGTGGAGGTTGCCATGAGCCAGGATCATCCCACTGCACTCCAGCCTGGGCAACAGAGTGAGATTCTGTCTCAAAAAAAAAAATAATAATAATAATAAGAGGCCAGACACAGCGGCTCAAGCCTGTAATCTCAACACTTAGGGAGGCTGAGGTGGAAAGCTCACTTGAGCACAGGAGTTCAAGCCCAGCCTGGGTAATAGAGCACGACCCTGTCTATAAACAATTTAAAAATGGGGCTGGGGTGGTGGCTCACACCTGTAATCCTGGCACTTTGGGAGGCTGAGGTGGGCATATCATGAGGTCAGGAGTTCGAGAACAGCCTGACCAACATGGCGAAACCCTGTCTCTACTAAAAACTATAAAAATTAGCGGGACATGGTGGCACATGCCTGTAATCCCAGCTACTCAGGAGGCTGAGGCAGGAGAATTGCTTGAACCCGGGAGGTAGAGGTTGCAGTGAGCCAAGATTGCACCACTGTACTCTAGCCTGGGCAACAGAGCGAGACTCCACCTCAGAAAAAAAAAAAAAATTTAAATTAACCAGGAGGCCAGCTGTGCTGGTTCATGCCTGTAATCCCAGCCCAGGAGTTTGAGGCTTTAGTGAGCTTCATCGCATCACTGTACTCCAACCTGGGCAACAGAGACCCCGTCTCTAAAAAACCCAATCATAACAGGACCTGGTTATAGGGCGCTGATGGCAAGTCCCATGCTAAGTGCTTTCTGTGCATTCTTTCCAGTCCTGGGCACCTGGGCGTAGGTGTGGAGGCTTGGAAAGGTGAGGAGGCTGGCCTGAGGTGGACAGCAATCCCGGTCGGCCTGCGCTGAGATCTGCGGCTGTTGGCAGCCACATCATTTGCTATCAAAGTGACTGCGGCTCTCCAGGGGGTTGGAGAGGGCTTTTTCCTTCTGGGATCCCATGACGAGAAAGTAACGGGGAAGGGAGTGGGCCTAGACACCGCTTGGACCCGAGGGCCAAGCTCTTTTCTCAAAGCTCCACAGCTCTGATTCTTCTAGTTGCCCCGGCTGTTTGAAAAATGATCACTCCCCAAGGACAGATCTTGACAATGTCCTTTTAATTGTACTCTTTTCAAAAAATCTCCTTTCTCAGTTAAAAAAGACAAGGCATGATGAAGACCTGCTCTAGCCCATACTGGGCGGTGATCTCGGTCCTGGGGGAGGCCAGGCCGGACTCTTCCAAGGCCTCCTCCCTGGGCAGTCCCAGCAATGGGGCCAGTGGCAGGGCAGGTTCTCCCTGCCAGAACCCGATCCTAGCCCTTCAGAAGGACTGGACCTCTGTGTCCCTTCAGTGGGAAGCCACCTTGGACACACGCAGTCATTCAGGTGGACATAAGGCCACTCTTCTCGCCCTTGACCTTGAGGAACTCAGCCATGCTGGAGAAATACTTCTGGTTGGCCTCAGCCACCTTCTTCTCTGCCGCCTGTGGGTTCACAATCTCCAGGCCCTGGGCAGGTGAGGGAGAGAGGATGATGGGTTAGGTGAGGAGAAGGCCCCAACTGTGACCCATCAGAGCCCCCCAGGCCCTTCCCCATGGCACTCAGGCCTTGGTGGGCATGAGACAGTTTGCCTGTCCCTGGAGTTGCCCTGTCTTGGGAGATTCTGACTCAGTGGGTCTAGAGGGAGAGGGTGGGGAGGAACCAGGGCGCCTGGATTTGTACGAAGTTCCTCAGGGGTGCTAAAAACAACCAATGCTTGAGGACAGCCAATCCTGCCCAGTTTCTGCATAAGGAAACTGAGTCCCTGGGGGACATGGCTGGCCCGAGGTCCTAGCACAAATCACACCAACACCACTGACGATCATAGTGGCAGCAATGGGAGCCAACACCTGGCTGGCACTTCCTAAATATTTTCAAGGCAACAGAGCGAGCCCCCGTCTCTAAAAATAATAACAGGACCCAGTCATTGGGCTCTAATGGTGAGCCCAGTGCCAAGTGCTTCCTGTGCGTTCTTTTCAGTCCTGAGCACCTCATGATGGAGGAGGGGAGGCTTGGAAAGGCACAGCCACTGGCCTCATCTTCTCAAAGAGGCCCTCCCTGGCTGCTCCGAAACGAGAGCCTCCCCTGTCCCACCTCCTACCTTCCACCTCCTCCCCTCCCTGGCATTTCTGCCTTCTTTTTTTTTTTTTTGAGACAGAGTCTGGCTCTGTCGCCCAGGCTGAAGTGCAGTGGCGCGATCTCGGCTCACTGCAAGCTCCGCCTCCCGGGTTCACGCCATTCTCCTGCCTCAGCCTCCCAAGTAGCTGGGACTACAGGCGCCCGCCACCACGCCCGGCTAAGTTTTTGTATTTTTAGTAGAGACGGGGTTTCACCGTGTTAGCCAGGATGGTCTCGATCTCCTGACCTCATGATCCACCTGCCTCGGCCTCCCAAAGTGCTGGGATTACAGGCGTGAGCCACCGCGCCCGGCCTGGCATTTCTGCCTTCTACTACACTGGGCATCTTACTGAGCTGTCTGCGCCCAGCCTGGCATTTCTGCCTTCTCCTACACTGGACATCTTACTGAGCTGTCTGCGCCCGGCCTGGCATTTCTGCCTTCTCCTACACTGGACATCTTACTGAGCTGTCTGCGCCCGGCCTGGCATTTCTGCCTTCTCCTACACTGGACATCTTACTGAGCTGTCTGCGCCCGGCCTGGCATTTCTGCCTTCTCCTACACTGGACATCTTACTGAGCTGTCTGCGCCCAGCCTGGCATTTCTGCCTTCTCCTACACTGGACATCTTACTGAGCTGTCTGCGCCCGGCCTGGCATTTCTGCCTTCTCCTACACTGGACATCTTACTGAGCTGTCTGCGCCCGGCCACCCACTGGCTCCAAGAAGGTAAGACTTGTCTCTCATTCGTTGCTTCATCCCCAGAGCCGGGAACACTGACAGAACTCAGCAGGTGCTGCGTAGACACCCGCTGACTGGGCAGATGAGCTCGCTGCTGTCTCGCCTCCGTGGTGCAGGCTCGCCCTGCTCTGTGGATGGTAAACCGAGGCTCCGACGATGCGGTGACTGCCATGCTCCACGCTGCTCACTGCTGACTGGCTGGGGCCTGGACCCACACTTGACATCCAAGCCCGCCTAGCCGGGAACTTTCTCGAGTGGGGTCCTGAGGTTACCTTAACCGTCCTGGCCGTTTTGAACTGGAGGGCCTGGAGGCTGAGCAGTGTTACCCGCTCACAGCCCGACAGAGGAACTGGGTGCCCTGAACACAGCTGTGGGCCTGGTTCTAAAGCAGTGCGTGCTCACGAGGACTGCTCAGCGCTGGGCTCTCGTCTCTGCTAACCTCTTCCTGTGTGCCAGGAGCTGTCTACGTCCTCTGCATACCTCGTCACCACACCCTCCACAACAGCCCCATGAGGAGACTCATCCTGGCCTTCTTCACAGGGGCAGAGGGCAAGGGGCCTTGCCAAGGTCTCAGGGCTGGGGACAGAGCCGGCCCAGGGGAGGTACCTGGAGTGGGGTGAAGGCCACGCTGGAGGCCGTGCCCGAGGAGCGGTCGCGGATGGTGGACTTCCCGCCATATACGACGCTCTGCTTCTGCAGGGTCCGCTGTGGGGAGGACAGGGAGGCTGCGATCTGGGCTCCCCCCACCTTGTGTCCCTCGGTCCCCAGCCCCACCTGGGTCTGGCCCATACCTGCAGCGTCTTGGAGATCCTGGCCTTGGTGGCCTCGTTTACCTGTGTCTGCCGCACACGCCCACTGCCCGACTTGCCCAGGTGGCCCAGGCTGAATCCCAGGTCCTCCTGGTAGGCGTCCTCCTCGATCTAGGGGGAAGAGGAGGCGCCCTGCAGTTCAGCGACCAGGCCCTGCCCTCCAGCCACCGAGGCACCCCCTCCACCAGCCGGAAGCCCAGCGGTCACCAGCCGGCCGGTCCCACGGGCACCTGCTCCGGTACCCACTCGGCCCGGCTGAGGCCTGGGGGCCCACACACGCGGGGGATGCCGGGGAGCCTGAGAGGGGCCCGGTCCCAGCACTGCTCTGTGAGCTCAGAGTTGGGAGGCCATTCCTTCCTTACTCGTGTGGGTCGGGGGATGTCAGGAACCAGAACAGGTTTAATAGGATGAGGTGGCCTCTGAGTTCGGTCCTGCAGGACCAAGGGGATGACGCTGGGATAACAGAGGAGACTGGCGGGGCCCAGGGACGGGGCGGCCGTGCAGCAGGGCACTAAGGAGCCTCTGGGCAGGGAGGAACCGGCCAAGGAGCCCGGGGCGATGGGAAGCCGCGGGGGCTCTAAGCAGCGGAGACACAGGCTCCAAGGGCCGCGAGGGTCGCTTTGGGGCTGAATGGATGGAAACGAGAATAGAGGCCGGGGGGGAGGAGGCTGGGGCAGCGCCCTAGACATGAGCCAGGGCCACAGGACGAGAGGAGGGGCGGTGGCAGGAGGCAGAGGGCGGTGGCGGCTGGCTGGCTGTGGGGTTGAGGAGGGCGCTCTGGGAGTCTGACCTCTCCGAAGCTCATACGGTTGGCCTGCTTCCGGATCTCCGTCAGCCCCAGCCGCTCCTTCATCTTGCGGTACCTGGGGACGGGTGGGTGGGCGGCGCCAGGGAGTCGGCTGGGAGGAGGACGCCGGCTTCTCCCCTCCATGACCCCCATGCCTACCGGACCCCCAGGGCCCCTCACCTGCGGCCGCCTCGCTTCTTCCGCTGTCCATCCAGGGGCGCAGGCAGCGGCTTCACCTGCTTCACAGGCGGCGGCTCCTGCCACTTGTCGAATTTGCGCTCGATCTCATCCTTCAGTTCGTAGCCCACCTGGGGAGGGCGAGGGGGAGGTCCTGCAGCTGCTCGCGTGGGCTGCCCACCCAGGCCTCCTCTGAGCGGACCCCCCGAGTATCCACGTGCCTTAGTTAAATCAGCACCTAATGCTGCCTCACCGCCACCCCCTTTCTTTTTCTTCTTGGTGTTGACTTAGCACCGCTAGACGCAGGACAGAGTTCACCTGTTGACTGTCTCTTTGACCCGGCCCCAACAAGAATGTCCACGCCACGGGGCAGGGGTCCTGTCTGTGCTACTCACAGCTGCACCCCCACACCCAGACCAGGGGTGAGATGGGGAGAGGGAAAGGAGAAGGGGACACGGAACACCTGAACGCTGTGCCAGGCCGGGTGCTTGGCAAACGACAGTTCACAAGACAGAAAACGTCTCCTCTCCCGAGTACATCTACCAAGGAAGACAGAAGGTAACTGAATAATTACTTGAATAACATCCCCTGTTGCAGCGGGGACAGATCCTGGTGTGGAAGGCAAATTACGCCCCCACCAACACACACATGCCCAAAGAGGCCCATGTTCTAATTCCCAGAATCACAGGGCAAAAGGGACGTGAAGAGGTTAAGAAGGATTTTAAGGATTGTGAGCTGGGAAGACTATCCTGGACCATCTGAGTAGGCTCAGTATAGCCACAGGGGCCCTTAAAATAGAAGAGGGGAACAAAAACAGAGGCCGAGATATGAAGACAGAAGCAGAGTCAGAGAGAGGTCTGAGGGTGCTATGTGGCTGGCTCCGCAGACAGAGGGAGGGCCACGAGCTAAGGGGTGCCAGTGACCCCTAGAAGCTGGAAAAGACAAGGGAATGGATTATCCCTTGAATCCCCCAGAAGGAACGCTCCAGGATGACACCCTGACTTCAGCCCAGTGAAACTCATTTTGGACTTCTGACCTACAGGACCACAGATAATAAACCTGTACTGTTTTTTGTTTTTGTTTTTAGATGGAGTCTCGCTATGTCACCCAAGCTGGAGTGCAATGATGCAATCTCAGTTCACTGCAACCTCCGTCTCCCAGGTTCAAGCAATTCTCCTGCCTCAGCCTCCTGAGTAACTGGGATTACAGGTGCGTGCCACCACACCCGGCTAATTTTGGTAGAGATGGGGTTTCACCATGTTGGCCAGGCTGGTCTCAAACTCCTGACCTTGTGACCCGCCCACCCTGGCCTCCCAAAGTGCTGGGATTACAGGCGTGAGCTACTGCACCCGGCCACACCTGCACTGTTTGAAGCCAGTAGGTTCATGCTACCTTCCAACAGCAGACCTAGGAAACCCCACTGGGGAAGGGGGTGCCTGACCCCAGGGAGGGTGGGCAGAAGCACTGCCTCCGCCTTGGTAGGACAGTGCTCGCTGGGGTGGGCTCCCTGCTGAGGGTCTCCCTGCAGAGACACCCCAGGCCCAGAGGAAAAGACGCCCGGCCGCCCCTCACCTTTCCCTCCTCACCTTCCCTTCTGTGCTCTCGTGGAAACTGTCCACACGGGCTGCCAGTGTGCACTTGGCGGCCACCAGCCGGGCCGCTTTCCGCCGCAGATCCTGGAGCAACGGAAAACGGGGGTGGAATCTGTGTGAGACAGACAGACAGAGGTAACAGCAAAGCAACCGCGCGCGCTCCTCCTCTGGCTCTACCTGGGGTCCTGGAAGGGGGCTTTCCACCCTTGGGCTCTAGAGGTGTGTGCTCTCAGCTCCTACTTCACAGGAAGAGGGGATGAGGGCAGGGCACAGAGCCATGTCCCAGCTGATAAGTGGCCATCAGGTAAGGATGACAGTAAGGCACGCTGACAACGAGGACGGTGGTGACTGTGGAGACGCCGGGGGGAGTGCACTCGGCCTGGATGCCAGCCCCATGCTAAGCACGCCCCTCGGATCATCTCATCAAATATTCAAATATTGGGCTGGTGTGATCATTGCACCCCCTTTTCAGATGTGGAAACCAAGGCTTCAAGTCATGTGGCCAGGGAGACAGCCAGCAGGTGATGGAGCCAGGGTTCCAATCCAAACTGCAAACAGAGCCCAGCTGTCAGCCACAGTGAAGCGATGGCCAGCCCTGGCCTCCCTTACAGGCCTGTGGTGTCTACGGCCTGTGCCTGGACCGATGTGAGATGGCCAAATGAAGAGGCAGAGGCCTGGGTGACAAGACATCAGGCTCCCTGGGGCAGGTTTAACCCATATGCCCAGGGCTGTGAGGCGGTGGCGATGGCAGGGGTGCAGTGAGGCAGCTGGAGCCCCGAGCCCCAGGCCCACCCGTCCTGGGTTCTATCGCCCACTCTCTCTCCTCCCAGGATGGGGTGACCTGCCAGCCTCCCTGGGTGTGTTCCAGTAGCAGTGCCTGACCTAAAGGGTCGCAGAAAAGACCACAAAAAAAACCCCACACAGGGCTGGGGGGTGGGGCCAGGAAGTGCCTGCCCAGCCTTGGCCATCAGTGCTATTGTTCTCCCCATCCCTGGGGGAGGCCAGGCAGGGCACAGGGCCGTGAGCCTGAGGTAACTCGCCACAGTCGGACAGAGCAGGGTCTGGACCCAGGCCTGTCTGTCCCAGAACCTGTCTTGTTTTTTTTTTTTTTTGAGACAGAGTCTCACTCTGTCACCCAGGCTGGAGGGCAGTGGTATGATCTTAGCTCACTGCAACCTCCACCTCCTGGGTTCAAGCGATTCTCCTGCCTCAGCCTCCCAAGTAGCTGGGATTATAAGTGTGTGCCACTATACCCAGCTAGTTTTTTGTATTTTTGGTAGAGATGGGGTTTCACCATGTTGGCCAGGCTGGTCTCGAACACCTGACCTCAGGTGATCTGCCCGCCTCGGCCTCCCAAAGTGCTGGGATGACAGGCACGAGCCACTGCGCCCCGCCAGGCTAGCGGGCCTGTGTGTGTGCTGTCAGGCGTCGATGCTGGGATGGTGATGTGTCCCGACTGCAGGGAGAGGACCCGGGAAGCTCCGAGGTTGGTGACCTCTCCTGCCCCTCCTGTGTGTCTCTCCCCATGGCTGATGTGCAGCCCTCAGTGGATTCTGTGAGTCTTTCTAGTGAATGGTCAAACCTGAGGGTGGTCTTCGGAGCAGTTGCACGCTAACCCGACGCTGCTTGTCGTGAGCTAGGCCTGAACTGTAAGTGCTTCATGTGCACTGAGCCCTCGTCCCAACTCATGAAGCAGGCGCTGTGCTCCCATTTGATAGGGGAGGAGACTGAGGCACAGGGCGCTCATGCCTCTTGCCCACAGTCACCTGACTGGTGGGTGCTGGAGCTGGTCTGCTGCAGAGCCCTGGCTCTCACGTCCCATGCCACCCTGTTCCCAGCTCCTGAGTGCTACCGTCAGCTGGGCCAGATGGTGGGTGGCTGCTCAGGCTGTCTGGGCACAGCGGAAGGCTCCAGGGGGGCCGGGGGAGGGGCCATGACGCAGTGGGCTCACCGGTGGCAGGGACTGCACGATGTCACTGTGGTAGATGTAGCCGGTGTGGGGCAGCACTGAGGTAGACGAGAAGCCCGACAGCGTCTTGCGCTGGGCCCCGAGCAGCATGATGTTGCAGGCGGGCATCTTGGAGAGGTTGGTCAGGCCGCCGGCCACACCTGCGGTGGGAGGGAGGGAGGAAGGGGGGGCGGTCAGAAGAAAGCAGAGAGGTGGGGGTGAGTAAATCTGCCTGGGGGCTCGACGTGTGCTGGGCACCTTTACATGAAGTTCTGGTTGGATTCCTCGATGGCCCTGCCAGGCGGGCGACCTGGCCCATTCCGCAAGGGGCAGATGCAAAGGAGGCTCAGAGAGGGAGGGCAGCTGGCCTGGGGGTGCAGGGAGGAGGCCCCCAACAGGAAGCTGACCACCACGTTTGTGCTAAGCCACACTAACGCCGTTCCAGGGATGGCTGTGTTTTGGAACCATTTTCACCAAACCAGGAGCTCCCTGACAACAGGGCCTGGGTGTGGTCATCTCTGGGTTTCCGGCACAGGGGAGGGAGAAGGAGCTGTGGGTGAGTGTTTTTCCCACAGACGAGGCTTTGCTGTGTGCCAGGCTGGCTGACCTCTGTGATGTCCAGGGAGACGGGGTGCTGAGGTCCAGGTGCCAAAGCCCCCATTCTACAGAAAAGGATGTAGCTTTCCCAAGGTCACAGTGTCAGCAGACCCCCGCTCCATGGGACCCAGCCCGGGGACTCACCCATGATCTTGGCGGCCGTGGATGCCCCGATAATGATGGACAGGTTGGGTGCGATGAAGGACATCCGGGACTCCACATACTCGTAGATGCGGTGCTTGGAGGCGTTCAGCTCCAGCGCCATGTCGCAGGCCTCCTCCAGCCGCTCCAGCTCCTCCTCCGACAGCTGCTGCCTGCAGGGGCGGGTGGGCCCAGCCTCCTGGATCTCCCGCCTGCCTGGTGTGCCCAGCCCCAGCCCTCTCGGTTCTGTGTGTGTGTGTGCATGTGTGTATGTGTGTGTGCGTGTGTACACCTGCGTGTGTAGCTCCAGCCTAATCCCCAATCCCATTAGGGCCCGGCGCCTCCCTCGAAGCGGACATACCCCTGGGTGGTGGAGGCGGTGACGCTGACGACCATGATGGTGGCATTGGTGAGGATCTGCTGCAGGTTCTCATTGTTCTTGCACTTGTCCAGGCTGTTGCCCAGCTCCTGGGGGCGAGCAGAGAAGATAGGGGAGGCTCGGGAACTCAGGAAGGCTCGAGAACCTCTCTTGCTCAGCACCTCCTCAGGTCTCTTCTTAGGGACACTGGGACAGTCAGGGTCTCTGCACTGGGGGCCTCTCCTGCCTCCACCGCCTGAAGCATCCACACCATTCCTGCCTCCACCACGTCAAGCATCCACACCATCTGCCCTGCTTTCGCTGACCTGGAAACGGAGCCCGGGCAGAGTGGCGTCTGGAAAGACTGTGGCCTCACAAGCCTCTGGCCTGCGTCAAGTCGGAGTGCAAATCCGCGGCCTCGCTTCCCTGCAGGGGCTTCCCCACCGCCATCCTAATCCTTTCCTGGACATGCGTGGGGACCTCCTCCTCTCCCCGCCCTCACGCACACCTGCCCCTCTTTTCCGAAACCCTTCCTTGGCTTTCTCCTAAGACCCAAAGGCTGGACGTGATCCGACCTCTTCCCCGTCCCCTCCTTCCCCGCCTCACTTCCTCCCCACTTGTTCCCTCTCCAGCTCTCTGCACTTAGACGTCTCTCTGCCCCAAATCTCCGTGTGCCTGCCCTGTGTCAACCTTCGGATGTCAACTCCAATGCCACCGGCTCCAACCACAGCGGGAGCAGCGTGGGTCAGGCCAGCGGGGAAGCCCTCTCGGGAGACTGGGGTTGGAGGGGAGCCCTGAGAAAGTCCTGTCCAGGCTCCGTCCCTCCCACGCTGGGCAGAGCAGACCACTGAGCCCTCGTCCACTCCTCTCCATCGTCTCCAGACCCTGAGGCCTCTGGGAGGGGGTCCGAGAGTGAGCCCCGCCTGCCCCTTCACGCCAGCAGAAGCACCCCACCTTCTCTGCGCTCACCTTGACCGTGCGGATGTAATCCAGTGCATTGGGGACCAAGGACTCCAGTTCAGGGAATCTCTTTGAGTACTTATCCCGGATGAACTTATGGATGATGTCTAGGGTAAACGGGACAGGAGGTTGTCGGGTGAGATGGAAGGTAGACTCTGCTGGTTGGCCCTAACACCCATGTCCCCTTCTTCCTTTAGTAACTGAAGCCCTGGCTTGTGGCCTGGCACACGGGCACCAGCATACAGCCTTTCTCAGCCGTCCTTACCGCTAGGTGTGACCAGGGGAATTAGTTCTGGTCTGTAAAACGTGAGCTGCAGTGACATGTTCTTAAAGAAAAGAAGCGCCTTGCTGGTGGGAATGCGGAGGTGATGGCTGGAGGTGGGGCAGTCACCTCGCACCGTGAGGCAGGTGGCCGACCAACAGGATGGAAAGAGCCGGGGCCCTACAGGCAGCCAAGCGGCCACACCATCCCCGAGTGCTCCTCAGACTCATACGCGAGAGAACGCACTTCCTTCTTATTTCAGCCACTCTGTGACAGCAGGTCAACCTCGATCTGAGCTTGGGCTTAGGGGCAGGACCCTGGGAAAGGCCAGTGGGGAAGGGAGAGGGGGCGTGAGGGACGTCACACGGGGCTGTCTCCGCCTGCCCCCCAGCACTCACTCAGCTCGTTTTCGATCTCCACGGTCAGGTTGTTGGCATCCACGATGACGCGGTATTCAGGCGCGGCCTCCACTGGTCCCATCACTGTGAGGACACGGAGGCATGGGTGTGAGTATCTAAATCCCTACCCCCTCTCGGGTCCCGCAGCTGGAGGAGGCGGAGGATGAAGTTGGGAGGGGTCAGGAAGGAGGGGCTGAAGAGTAAACCAGGGACAGGCTGATGTCTGCAGACATCCCTGAACTTGTGTTCCTGCCTTCAATCCCTCTCCCTCCACACCAGTCTAGACTTGACCCCATCTACCCCAGAACTGACCGTGTGAAACCTCCTACGGCTCCCCACAGCCCCAAGGCTAATGACCGAGTCCTCAGACTGACATTCAGGGCCTCCCCAACTCCGGAAGCTCTGCAGGGACCAGTGCTGTGCCTGCGTTGGCTGTACCCACAGCCGAGTACCCAGGACAGCACCTGGCACACAGGGAGTTCCCCCGTTCCTGTTTGCTGACTCAGCAGCTCTGCAGTCTGGCCTCCCGCCCTTCCCGCCCCATCCTCTCACCACACCTCATTTTATTCCACTCCAGCCATAAAGGAGTGATCACAGTGCCCCAGACACCCACTCCTCCTAGCCTTTTTTTTTTTTTTTGAGACATAATTTCGCTCTGGTTGCCCAGGCTAGAGTATAGTGGCATGATCTCAGCTCACTGCAACCTCCGCCTCCTGGGTTCAAGCGATTCTCCTGCCTCAGCCTCCTGAGTAGCTGGGATTACAGGCATGTGCCACCACGCCCGGCTAATTTTTTTTGTTTGTTTGTATTTTTAGTAGAGACGGGGTTTCACCATGTTGGGCAGGCTGGTCTCGAACTCCCGACCTCAGGTGATCCATCTGCCTTGACCACCCAAAGTGCTGGGATGACAGGCGTGAGCCACCGCGCCAGACCCCTCCTGGCCTCTGCATGTGCTGCTCCCTCTCCCCAGAGCATCCCTTACCCCACGTCTGTTTCTGGAAAACGCTTCTTTGTGCTTTAGTAATAAGAGGTCAGGCACAGTGGCTCATACCTGTAATCCCAGCACTTTGGGAGGCTGAGGCAGGAGAACTGCTTGAGCCCAGGAGTTGGAGAGCAACCTGGGCGACATAGGGAGACCCCATCTCTACACATAATTAAAGAAAAAAAATTAGCCAGGCATGGTGGTGTACACCTGTGGTCCCAGCTGCCTGGGAGGCTGAGGCAGGAACGCCTGAGCCCACAAGGTCAAGGCTGCAGTGAGCTGGGATCGTGCCACTGCATTCTGGCCTGGGTGACAGAGTGAGACCCTGTCTCAAAAAACAAACAAACAAAAAGATGTTGTGTTTAAAAGTCATGCAAATACTAACTGCCTGATGTCACAGCCAGTAGAAGGCAGAGCTCAGATCTGACACCAGGCAGGGCGGCGTCAGAGTCTGCACTCCTAACCCTGATGCTCAAATGGCTCTTTAAGTCCTTAAGACTCAGGCAGCGACTCAGAATCCTTCCCTCCCTTTCTGGAAGGATCAGACGCCTCCTCTGTGTACCCGCAGCACTTGTGCACCTCCAGTAAACAGGGACTGCCACAGCTTGTGAGATGTTTCACCTCTGCCTCCTCAACCAGACACCGGGTGTGACGGGGTCTGACTCCATCCCTGAGCCTGGCCTGACATCAGGAAATGTCACTTTCTGTGTCCCATAACCCTCTGGAGGGAGAAATTCCTTGGCCTGGCATCTGGAACTCTGCAGGATTCTCTCTCCGGATATCTGAGGCCCCGGGCCTGCCGCTGTCTTTCCCTGGGCCCCCTTCTCCCTTTCTTTGCCTGGCACATGCATTCATGCTCTACAGTCCAATTCAGCTATCGATTCTTCCTGACACCTGGGGCAGGGTCAGCCAGTCCCTCCTGTGGCTCCGGTGTCCCCAGCTTGGTACCACCACTGATAGCTGTCTGGAACCTGGCCTGCCTCTTCCACTAGACCTTGAGTACTTTGAGAGCAAAGACCTGGGCGATTCAACTGGGTGCCCAGGTAAACGTTAAAGAAAGCAAGCAGTGAGTCTCCCGAAACTCTGCCCTCTCACTACACTTCTTTCCCCAGAAACCTCCTATGGCTTCCTGTCATCAACAAATTCCATTCAAGAAGAATGGGAAGGCTGGGCGTAGTGGCTCATGCCTGTAATCCCAGCACTTTGGGAGGCCGAGGTGGGCGGATTACTTGAGGTCAGGAGTTCGAGACTAGCCTGGTCAACATGGTGAAACCCCATCTCTACTAAAAAATACAAAATAGCCAGGCATGGTGTTGCATACCTGTAATCCCAGCTATACATAAGGCTGAGGGAGGAGAATCGCTTGAACCCGGGAGGTGGAGGTTGCAATGAGCCAAGAACACATCACTGCACTCCAGCCTGGGCGACAGAGGGAGACTCTATCTCAAGGAAAAAAAAAAAAGAATAGGAATGGTAACAGGACTGCCCTCTTAAGAGTGAGTCTGAGCACTCATGAGATAAGCTAGTGTTCTCTCAATTTGGGCATGAGAAAAGGTTTTAGGTTATTTTTTTTTTTTTTGAGACGGAGTCTTGCTCTGTCGCCCAGGCTGGAGTGCAGTGGCACGATCTCGGCTCACTGCAAGCTCCGCCTCCCAGGTTCACGCCATTCTCCCGCCTCAGCCTCCTGAGTAGCTGGGACTACAGGCACCCGCCACCACGCCTGGCTAATTTTTTGTATTTTTAGTAGAGACGGGGTGTCACCGTGTTAGCCAGGATGGTCTCGATCTCCTGAACTCATGATCCACCTGCCTCCGCCTCCCAAAGTGCTGGGATTACAGGCGTGAGCCACGGCGCCCGGCCTTAGGTGGTTCCTAAATAATTATATATCTATTTTTATACAGTGACTTTGTCTTTGCCAAATGATACCAGTTTTCCATTCATGGTAGCAATTTGCTTCCTTCTCAGATAAATTTAAGAAAAAAAGTCCTAGACTCAAAGAATATGTTAAGCAAATAATAGGATAAGCGGCTTATAGATGTGGCAAAAACCCTGTAACCGGTCATGTGAATCAGTGAAGTCTGGGAAACCTCAAGCTGAGTCCTATCATGATCAGTAAGCTCAGCACACAGGAAGGACTTAAGAAGCATGAGCTTTACAATGCAATATATATTTAGTGGAAAAGGGAACGGGTTGGGGTGAAACAAAAAAAAAAGAAGGCTCTGGAAAAGGCTGAGAAGGAGATATACCCAGCCACAAGCAGCCAGGGAGCCAGGGGGCCTGGCAGGAGAGACAGGAGATGGGGAGGGGCACAGAGTGGGAGGAAGCACCTTCTGAAGCTTTGGCTTGCTTGCTGATATACTCCTCAATCTTCATCATAATCTCAGCAAACTGTAGGAAAGGAGAAGACAGTCAGAATCCAGCACTCTTCAAAAAGAAGCCTGTATCACCCCCTTCTGGGAGATTCTGTCTAGAGCCCCCTGCTAGGAACACCTCTTGTCCTCTTACCATCTTACTATCCCATAGCTTGGCGATGGTCTTGACTGAATCCCCGGAAAGATCCAGCTGTGTCTCCTCCTGCACATCCTCGATCGCTGGCTCCTCTTCTTCCTCCCCATAGCTTCCTCCTTCCTCCTCTTCTGCTGCCTCTTCGAGATCAGCTAAGAGCTCATCTGCCAGAGACATCCCGAGGCCTGGGGAGGGACAGCAGCGTTCCCTAAAAACTTGCCCCGACAAAGTCCCTCCTTATTACTGAGCGATGATTCTCCCCCAGAAGACCCTGGTCCTTCTTTATCAACCCCACTAGCATGCAGGCTCCACGACAACAGGTGCTTTAGTTTGTTTTGTTCACTGGCGAGTCTCCAGCTCCGACCTGTGCAAGACGCAGCACACCCCTATGACCGCCACCTTGCTAAGACTTACTGGAACCAAGTGGTGTAGATTCCAAATGCATTTGCAAACTTTCTTATTCCTTTCTTGCCTTTAGCCTTGAAAACATACTTTGAAATTCTTTGTTTCCCTCCTTTCCCACTAGATACTGTCTTGCACTGCTGGCTTATCTATGTGCTTACTTAGAAGTTCCAGGGGCTAATCTTTATTTATTTATTTTTTAAAGATGGAGTCTGGCTCTGACACCCAGGTTGGAGTGCAGTGGCGCAGTCTTGGCTCACTTGCAACCTCCACCTCCTGGGTTCAAGCGATTCTCCTGCCTCAGCCTCCTGAGTAGCTGGGACTACAGGCACCTGCCACCATGCCCAGCTAATTTTTTTTTTTTTTTTTTGTAGAGTCAAGGTTTCACTATGTAAGCCAGGCTGGTCTTGAACTCTTGACCTCAAGTGAGCGACCCACCTTGGCCTCCCAAACTGTTGGGATTACAGGCGTAAGCCACCGCGCCTCGCCGCAGGGGCTAATCTTGAAACAAACTAGGTATGGAAACCCAGCTGCAAAACTCCAGAGATCACCTCAAGGCGATCAATCTACAACGTGGCCATTGTTGACTTGACACCAGCCCATGCTCCAGGTGGCCCGTGACTCAAGACAGCCTTCGGAGCAAGACACACATACCTTGTACCCAGCACCACTCCTGTATGCCTCCCATTCAAAGTTCCCCTTTTTAAGCCCCTCTCCCCAGCCTAAAGCTTGAAATGGTCTTCTAAAGACATTAGCTTGGCCATTTCTCATCTGCGAGCATTTGATCAGTAAAGCTGCTTTACTTTCACCACCCCCCACTTCCTCTGCCTCTGAGTAGCAGAAACTTGAGTTGGTTACATTATCGGTCTCTTCCCGCCTCCAGGTCTTTGTACAGGAGTCCCTTGTAACTAAAGTGGCCCTTTCCTTCACTTTGTTTTTTCTTTTCTTTTCTTTTTTTTGAGACCATGTCTTGCTCTGTCACCTAGGCTGCAGTGCAGTGGCGCCATCATAGCTCACGGCAGCCTCGATCACCTGGGCTCAAGCGATTCTCCCGCCTCAGCCTCCCGATAGCTGAGATGACAGGCACGCACCAGCACGCCCGGCTAATTTTTAAATTTTTCTGTAGAGACAGGGTCTCACTGTGTTGCTCAGGCTGGTCTCAAACTCCTGGGCTCAAGCGATCCTTTCGCCTGGGCCACCCAAAGTGCTGGGATTACAGGAGTGAGCCATGGCGTCTGGCTCTCCTCACTTCTTAGTAGCCCAGCATCTCCTCAGCCTTCAGCTCTCACGTTCCACCTCCCTGACCCACACGCCCCACTCTAGACTACAGGAGGTTGCTTTGTGATAACGTGTCCCGCACGCTCTGCGTGTCTACAGTAAGGCACTTCACACATTTGTGATTAATGAAGTAATTATTTGATAAAGCCTGTCTGCCAGGCATCAACCAAAGCTCTAAGAGGGTAGCGAACAATTTTTGCTCCTTCCACATCCCCAGGGCCACACCATGGTAGGCGCATATTAAGACTTTTGGGTAAACAGGCTGTAAAAGGCCGGGAGCGGTGGCTCATGCCTGTAATCCCAGCACTTTGGGAGGCCCAGGCGGGTGGATCATCTGAGGTCAGGAGTTGGAGACCAGCCTGGCCAACATAGTGAAACCCCGTCTCTACTAAAAATACAAAAAACTAGCCGGGCGTGGTGGTGCGCGCCTGTAATCCCAGCTACTCGGGAGGCTGAGGCAGGAGAATCGCTTGAATCCGGGAGGCGGAGGTTGCAGTGAACCGAGATCGCGCCACTGCACTCCAGCCTGGGCAACAAGAGCGAAACTCCGTCTCAGACAAAACAAACAAACAACTGGCCAGGCGCGGTGGATCATGCCTGTAATCACAGCACTTTGGGAGGCCGAGGCGGGCGGATCACGAGATCAGGAGTTCGAGACCAGCCTGACCAACATGGGGAAACCCCGTCTCTACTAAAAATACAAAAATTAGTCAGGGGTGGTGGCGGGCGCCTGTAATCCCAGCTACTCTGGAGGCTGAGGCAGAAGAATCGTTTGAACCCGGGAGACGGAGGTTGCAATGAGCCGAGATCGCGCCACTGCTCTCCAACCTGGGCAACAGAACGAGACTCCGTCTCAAAACAAACAAACAACAAAAAAACAAAAACCAAGCTGTAAAGACCCGCCTTTTTCCTCACACACTTCTTCTCCCAGACCCAGGAGCCCAGCCTCCCGCTCCCCGTGGTCTCCATCACACTCACCTCTCCTCTCCGCGCACCACTGTTTCTAGCGTTAGTCGCTCACCGATGACGTCTCACTCTCGCGCCGTTATAGAGGCAAAGCTACTCTCTGATTGGTCCCCGCTCGCGATGTTCCTGGCCGCATTTGAAACAACAACTTTATTAGCACCTGGCACTAGGCGGAGAGAGGCGGTAAGCCGCGAGGAGGAAAGGGACTCACGTCCCGCTGTGGACCGATCCTGCTAAGCAGAGAATCGCTGTGGCCGGACGACGGGGCGTCGAGACAAGAAGAAAGACGTTGGCAACTCAGAGGACTGGTTGCGGCGTTAGACAAGAAAGCAAGGCCTTTAAGCAGGGATTCGGGGTGGACGTGGGGGTGGGCCGAAGCGAAGCCGGAAACAGGAAACTACAACTCCCACAAGGCCTAGGGCCACGTCCCGCCGTCCTCGGCTGCTGAGCCTGATGGGACAAGTAGTTTTGCGAACGGCTTAACCTACAGATTGAAGAGGTCGGAAGCTCTGAGGCCCGGGGCTTCCGGAGGTCGCGGAGATGGAATTGGAGCAGAGAGAAGGGTATGTGGCTGAGCCCTTGTGAAAAAGTGCGAATCCCAGAAAACAGTGCAGCTGCATTGTGTGCAACCATATGAGCTTTTACGCTGAGGTCTGATGGGGGTTGTAGTTCATGCAACTGCTTTACCTTAGAACCCTTTTATGGACTGGGGTCATCCTGAGGGAGGAGAAGGTTAGGGGTTTGGACTGCTGGATCTGACAGACTAGGAGGTTGGAAGCCAGGACTCTTGCGTCTGGTTGAGGGTTGGGGCTTGGACTCCCTGGGTCCTTGGAGAGAAAAAGTCTGGAGGTCTGGACTCTTGCATCCTGGGAGGAGGGGGTCAGGGCTTGAACCCTGTGGGTGCTGCGAAGGGTGGGTTGCGGACTTGGACTTCTGGGTCTGAGGGAGGAGGGCTGGGAGCTGGATTCTACGGTCTGAGGGAGGAGGGGCTGGGGGCCTGGATTCTAGGATCTCAGGGAGGAGGGGTTGGGGTCTGGGCTCCTGGTTCAGTGGGAGAAGGGGCTGGGGGTCCAGGATCCAGGGCCCCTGAGCCTTTCCCTGCCTCTCAGGACCATGGCAGCCGTGGGCTTTGAGGAGTTCTCAGCGCCGCCAGGCTCAGAGTTGGCGTTGCCTCCCCTATTTGGTGGCCACATCCTGGAGAGCGAGCTGGAGACGGAAGTGGAGTTTGTGTCAGGTGGTCTGGGCGGCTCAGGGCTCCGGGAGCGAGATGAAGAGGAAGAGGCAGCCCGGGGTCGGCGGCGGCGCCAGCGGGAATTAAATCGCAGAAAGTACCAGGCACTAGGTCGGCGCTGCCGGGAGATCGAGCAGGTAGGTGAGTGCGGATCCCCCGGTTTTGGGGTCCCCTGGCCTAAACTACCGCCCCCCGCAATCTCTGCCTTTCCACATGCCCAGCCTTTCTTGGCTTGCTGATATATTCAGTCATTTAGCTTATATATTCAGTCATTTAGCATGCATTATGTGTCTGGCCCTGTGCCGGGCCCCTGGAAGGGCCATCTCCCGTGGAGCTTCCCTGACAACGCAGATGGGTTCTCTGATGTCTCCCGGGGGCCTCTCAATGCGTGGCACCGCTCACAGGTGAAAGCCCAAGCTCTTCACATCTCCCATACCCCTGCCAGGATTCACTCCTCTCGACTCATTCATTCCGCCTCTTGAGTGTCTCTGGACCCTTCTCCTCTCCTCCATCCCTATGGCTGCCATTGCAAACTCCAGCTGTCTGGGCTGAATGACTGCAATAGCCTCCTTGCTGAGAATAAGGATGGGCTGGGCATGGTGGCTCACGCTTGTAATCCTAGCACTGGGAGGCTGAGGCAGGCGGATCACCTGAGGTTAGGAGTTCGAGACCAGCCTGGCCAACATGGTGAAACCCCATCTCTACTAAAATACAAAAAAATTAGCCAGGTGTGGTGGTGCGCACCTGTAGTCGCAGCTACTAGGGAGGCTGAGGCATGAGAATTGCTTGAACCCGGAAGGCGGAGGTTGCAGTGAGCCAAGATCATGCTGCTGTACTCCAGCCTGGGTGACAGAGTGAGACTCCGTCTCAAAATCAATCAATCAATCAATGAGGATTAAACAGCAGGCAGGGCTCAGATCTTGGCAGGCCAGGAACACCAGGACAAGAAGTCTGGATATTTTTTTTTCCTTGAGAGTGAAGGAGCCACTGAAGGGTTTCAAATGGGGGAGGAACAGCATCAGGTCTGGATGCCTGAAACTCTGAAGACAGTTGTATTAGTCTGCTTGGACTCCCAGAACTTATCACAAATAGGGTCCCTCAAGCACAGAAATTCCTGTCTGACAGTTCTGGAGGCTAGACATCCAAGGCAAGGTGTCGACAGGGTTGTGAGAATCTTCCAGGCCTCTCCCCTGGCTTCTGGAGGTTTCTGGCAGTCATTGGCACGTACAAACATCACCCTGATCTCCGCCTTCATCTTCACATTGCTGCTCCCTGTGTGTGTGTCTGTGTCCCAATTTACCCTTTTTATAAGGACTCCAGTCATACTGGATTAGGGCCCACCCACTGGCTTCATTTGAACTTGATTACTTTTGTAACGACACTGTCTCCATATAAGGTGATCCTGAGGTACTGGGGGTTAAAGCCTCAACACCCTCTTTTGGGGGAAATAATTCAACTTTTTTTTTTTTTTTTTTTTTTTTTTTGAGGTGGAGTCTCGCTCTTGTCTCCCAGGCTGGAGTGCAATGGCACCATCTCAGCTCACTGTAACCTCCACCTCCTGGGTTCAAGTGATTCTCCTGACTCAGCCTCCCTAGTAGCTGGGATTACAGGCGCCCGCCACCACACCCAGCTAATTTTTCTATTTTTAGTAGAGACAGGGTTTCACCATGTTGGTCAGGCTGGTCTCAAACTCCTGACCTCAGGTGATCTGCCCACCTCAGCCTCCCAAGGTGCTGGGATTACAGGCTTGAGCCACCACGCCTGGCCTTCAACTCTTTTTCTCTTTCTTGAGACAGGTTCTCACTTTGTCACCAAAGCTGGAGTGCAGTGGCGCAATCTCAGCTCATTGCAGCCTCAGTCTCCCAGGTTCAAGCAGTCCTCCTGCCTCAGCCCCCAAAATAGCTGGGACTACAGGCACACACCACCACACCTGGCTAATTTTTGTACTTTTTGTAGAGATGGGGTTTTGCCATGTTGCCCAGGCTGGTCTTGAACTCCTGACCTCAAGTGATCCACTCGCCTTGACCTCCCAAAATGCTAGGATTACAGGCATGAGCCACCACATCTGGCCTCAATTCTTAATGACAGTATTGGGGAGTTCTGTAAGGAGGAAGGCTAGAGGCCAGGGGCATATTCCAAACCCTGTTTAACAGACAGACACCAAGGCCCAAACGGACTCAACTGGAGCCTCTGCCATTAATCCACCCCCAGGAATAGATTACTACTATTTTACAAGTATAGAAAATCAAGGCTCAGAGAGGTTAAGTAATGCACCCAAGCTCAGAGCTCAGCAGTGGCAGATCTGAGATTTTTTTTTTTTTTTGAGACAGGGTCTTTCTCTGTTGCCCAGGCTGGAGTGCAGTGGCATGACTGTGGCTCACTGCAGCCCCAACATCCTGGACTCTAGCAATCTCAGCCTCCGAAGGAGCTGGGACTACAGCCACCAAGCCCAGCTAATTTTTTTGGTTAGTTTTTGAGTGTTGGGGTCTCACTCTGTTGCCCAGGCTGGTGTCGAACTCCTGGCCTCTCAAAGTGCTGGGATTATAGGCATGAGCCACTGTGCCAAGCCAGAGCCAAAACTTGAACTCTTTTTTTTTAGATGGATTTTCGCTCTTGTTGTCCAGGCTGGAGTGCAATGCTGCAATCTCAGCTCACTGCAACCTCCGCCTCCTGGGTTCAAGCGATTCTCCTGCCTCAGCCTCCCGAGTAGCTGGGATTACAGGCATGCGCCACTACACCTGGCTAATTTTGTATTTTTAGTAGAGACAGGGTTTCACCACGTTAGGCTGGTCTCAAACTCCTGACCTCAGGTGATCCGCTCGCCTTGGCCTCTGAAAGTGCTGGGATTACAAGCGTGAGCCACCGTGCCTGGCACTTTTTTTTTTTTTTTTCTTTTGAGACAGAGTCTTACTCTGTCACCCAGGCTGGAGGGCAGTGGTGTGATCTCGGCTCACTGCAACCTCCAGCTCCTGGGTTCAAGCGATTCTCCTGCCTCAGCCTCCTGAGAAACTGGGATTACAGGCATGCGCCACCATACCCAGCTAATTTTTGTATTTTTCTTTTTTTTTTTTTTTTTTTAGTAGAGATGAGGTCTCATCATGTTGGCCGGGCTGGTCTGGAACTCCCGACCTCAAACTCTTGAGTAGCTGAGATTACAGGCATGTGCCACAACATCCGGCCAATTTTTGTATCTTTAGTAGAGACGGGGTTTCACCATGTTGGCCAGGCTGGTCTTGAACTCCTGACCTCAAGTGATCTGCCCGCCCCGGCCTCCCAAAGTGCTGGGATTACAGGCGTGAGCCACTGTGCCCCGCCCGGAACTCAGGTCTTTCTGACCCAGGAGCAGCACCTGCTTCAGCCACTGTCTTTGGGTCCCTGTTTGGCTGAGTCACATCTCTCCCTCCATGTCTAGGCTGGAGTCCTCAGAAGCTGCGTGCAGGGCTGTCCCCTCAGCCTGGCATACTTTCCTCCTGTCACCCCTTTGTCTCCTCCTTATTCAAGTCTGGGCCCACGGGCCTTCTCTGCAGGTCGTAACTAAAGTCGCACCTCCTGCCCTAACCTCCAGCATGTCTGACTCTTTGGTATTCACCAAGCACTTCTCACTTTGCAAAGTCATTGATTCTGCAAATGTTCATGGAGGATGTACTACGTGCCAGGCTCTGGTTAAGGCACGGGATGTAGAAACAAGTTGCTGTCGTTTTTCAGCTCATGCTCTGGCTGGAGAGGCGGTCAGTCAGCAGAATAAGCAAAGAGGCGGAGAGGCTGCGTCCTGCCTCCTCAGATGAGCACTAGGAGGAAATAAAGCCAGGAGTGAATGGCCGGGTGGGGTTCTGGCATGGGAAGGGGGGTCGGGTGTGTTGCAATTTTTTTTTTTGAAACAGAACCTCGCTCTGTTGCCCAGGCTGGAGTGCAGTGGGGTGATCTCAACTCACTTCACCCCTCCACCTCCCAGGTTCGTGCGACTATCCTGCAGGCACCTGCCACCACGCCCAGCTAATTTTTTGTATTTTTAGTAGAGATGGGGTTTCATCATGTTGGCCAGGCTGGTCTCGAACTCCTGACCTCAGGGGACCTACTCGCCTCGGCCTCCCAAAGTGCTGGGATTACAGGCGTGAGCCACCGCACCTGGCCTGGTGTGTTTCGACTTAATGGGAGGTTCAGGCTCTCTGAGCAGGTAACAGTTGACCTAAGACTTGGAGTGGGGAGTAAGTTGTGCGGATGACTGGGGAGAGGGTCCAGGTAGAGGAACAGCACGCGGAAGGCCCCCACTGGAGGGCACTCAGGACTGTGGCATGGTGAGAGGGGAGCCGGAGGGATGGGAAGGTGGAAGGACCTCAGGCCACGGGATGGTCTTTGGCCAGTCTCCAGAGTTTAGTGCGTGCCCCATTAAACATCCGTTAAACAAATGAACGGGAGCCGTGGGATCCAGCTGATGGGCGTTTCCCACCCCATAGGTGAACGAGCGGGTCCTGAACAGGCTCCATCAGGTGCAGAGGATAACTCGGAGGCTGCAGCAGGAACGGAGGTAACCCCTTCTCCGTCCCCTCTGGGCCTGTGAGCCTCAGCTCCCAAATGCTCCCAGCCCCTCTGTCTCTCCCACTTCCACATCCACCCAACCCTCACAAGCCACAAGGAGAAGCCGGAGATGAGGGCCGGGGGCTGAGGCAAACAAGGAGGAAGAGTGGGATTCGGTGTTGGAGGAGAGGGCTGAGCACTGGGACTGAGGGAGGGCCGGGTGGAGAGGGCTGAGCACTGGGACTGAGGGAGGGCCGGGTGGAAGGGGCTGTGCGCTGGGACTGAGGGAGGGCCGGGTGGAGAGGGCTGAGCACTGGGACTGAGGGAGGGCCGGGTGGAGGGCCTCCTCCCCCTGAAGGGAGGGAACAGCAGGATGGAAGGCACACGAGCACAGACCTGACTGCAAGTATTTTCTTTTTTTTTTGCTGTGTGACTCTAAGCAAGCAGTGTCCCTTCTCTGAGCTGTTTCCTATCAACTAAGGGCAGCACCAATATCATGAGGCTGCGGCAGGGTTGTCGGAGCTTGCAGGTGGTGAGCTGAGCTCAGAGCTTCCCACTGTGTGTCTCCACAGAACCTGCCCAGGTGGCTGCTGCCCCTGCCACTCGCAGTGTCCCTGTACCAGCAAAACTGGAGCAAGTTTTGTAGGAATGGCTCCACGTTGCTGAGTCAACCACAGTTCTCATCTCAGTCCTTGGCTCAGGCTCGGCACAGTGGCCCAGGGCTATGTGCTCTTCCCTGGAGCCCATTCTTGCCATCCTGGGCACCCAGCAACCTGGGGTCTCCTGCCTTTCCGGCTGTTCCTTCTTGGCTGCCTTTGCTAGTTCATCCTCCCTCCCCAAAGCTGAAACCTGCGGCTCCCAGGGTTCCTCTGTCCGTACCTGTGCTGTCCAGCACGGTAGCCGCTGGCCACAGGTGAGATTTTCACTTAAGTTGAAATAGGCCGGGCGCAGTGGCTCATCATGCCTGTAATCCCAGCACTTTGGGAGGCCGAGGCAGGCGGATCACGAGGTCAGGAGATCGGGACCATCCTGGCTAACACGGTGAAACTCCGTCTCTACTAAAAATACAAAAAAATTAGCCGGGTGTAGTGGCAGGCGCCTGTAGTCCCAGCTACTCGGGAGGCTGAGGCAGGAGAATCGCTGGTACCAGGGAGGTGGAGGTTGTGGTGAGCCAAATTCACGCCACTGCACTCCAGCCTGGGTGACAGAGTGAGATTCCGTCGCAAAACAACAACAACAAACCTGCCCAGGTGCTGGTGCAGAGGAGGCATTCCATCAATTGAACCTTAAGGAACTCTGGAGGCAGGGGCTGGGGAAAAAAGAGAAGGGGGTGTTTATAAGAGGTGAGGTCATTAGGAGGAGCGTTCTGTACTCCCCTCTCTTCAGTTATCAATAAAAATTATAACTCACATATGAATGTTTACTAAGTGCTGACATCACATTAAGTACAGAAATCGTCTGGTGTCACTACTTCAGTGTCACCGCTGCAACATCCAGCCGAGGGTGTCATGTCGTTTGCAGAGCAGGAAACTCAGCCTCAGAATGGTTGCCTTGTCTTGCTCGAGGTCTCAAGGCTGGTCAAGGGCATGGCTCCCAGGCCTCCAGTGCCAGAGCTCAGGACCGTCTGGCTCCAGGACAGCTTTGGCGTTGAGTGGAGTGGGAGCTGAGCTCTATCCTGTGGCCCTTTTCCCCAGCCGCTAGGAGATAAGTTATTCCGTTGGTGGCTTCTCCCCCTGAGCAGGTTCCTCATGAGAGTGCTGGACTCCTACGGGGATGACTACCGGGCCAGCCAGTTCACCATTGTGCTGGAGGTGAGTGTTGGGCCTCCAGGAGGGTCAGGAACTGGGAGCTCAGGACCCACCCATCACCTACCTCCCCCTCCTGCCTGCCAGGATGAGGGCAGCCAGGGCACGGATGCCCCCACCCCAGGCAATGCGGAGAATGAGCCTCCAGAGAAAGAGACACTGTCCCCGCCCAGAAGGACTCCTGCACCCCCAGAACCCGGCAGCCCAGCCCCCGGTGAGGGGCCCAGTGGGCGGAAGAGGCGGCGAGTGCCACGGGATGGACGCCGAGCAGGAAATGCGCTGACTCCAGAGCTGGCCCCGGTGCAGGTGAGGAAGGCGGGAACTCAAGGGGAGGGACTGGGGCTCCAGAGCCGGCGCCAGTGCAGGTAAGGAGGGGGGACTCAAGGGGAGGGGCCAGGGCTGGGGCTGAGTTAGGTTCAGGGCTCTTGGGTTTTGGTTCTGCACCCCGAGGGGCCCAGGGCTGGGGAAAGTTGGAGAAGGGAGGTGAACCAGGACATGTTGGAGGCCTAGGATCAGGCAGGGAAGTAGTTGGAAAAAGTGGGGTAAAGGCTTGGGTAAAAAGGAGGCAAAGTTGGAAAGGGAAAGAGGAAGACCTGGAGAAGGAAAAATAGCTAGAGAAGGCTGGGAGTAGAGGAGAAGGAAGGATCAGAGAAGACGGAGTGGAAGGGAAGGCCCAGTGTGGGGAGGAAAGCTGGAAGAACATCTGGACCCAGGAACACTGGGATTGCCTCTGAGGTGTAAGGAGGAAGGTGACTGGCCTGGGCAGACAAGAACTGTGAGGCTGGCCAGGTGCAGTGGCTCATGCCTGTAATCCCGGCACTTTGGGAGGCCTAGGTGGGAGGATCACTTGAGGCCAGGAGTCTGAGACCTGCCTGAGCAACATACTGAGACCCCATCTCTACCAAAAAGAAAAAACATGTTAGGCTTGGTTGGCAAGTGCCTGTAGTCCCAGCTACTTGGGAAGCTGAGGTGGGAGGATCACTTGAGCCTGGGAGGCAGAGGCTGCAGTGAACTATGATGGCACCACTGCACTCCAGCCTGGGCAACAGAGTGAGACCCTGTCTCTTTAAAAAGCAAAACAAAATGAAAACAAAAATGGTGAAGCTGATGGGATTTTCTAGATTCCCAGGCCTGTTAACACCTTGTTCCTTATCTCCTGCAGATTAAGGTTGAGGAAGACTTTGGCTTTGAAGCAGATGAGGCCCTGGATTCCAGTTGGGTTTCTCGGGGTCCAGACAAACTGCTGCCCTACCCGACCCTGGCCAGCCCAGCCTCTGACTGACGCATGCCCAATAAACTGACCCCACACTCACCCCGGCCACCGTCTACTTGTTCCCACCTCTGATCACACACATGCTCACGTTCGGGGGTTGGTTTTCACATTTTTATTGGGAGCCGTGGGAGGGGCCGCCTCTGTCAGTGGAGGTGCTCACAGTTTCTTCAGCCACTCCAGGCTGGGGCCCTGAGGGTCCTGGGGGTGGCTGGGCACGTCGGGCATGTTCCCATCATCACGGACGGGCACTGTGGGGCAGGAGGTGGGCCACTGAGACCAGCACGTCTCCAGGGCCCTGGAGAGAAGAGCTGGTCTGTCGCTTTATGTTCAGAGAGGGAAGGGGGACCCCAGGGGTGAGAGGGGAAGGGTCAGAGAATCAGTGATGCAGAAAGAGGCGGGAAATACAGAGACTGAGAGACACGGAAAACCAGAGAGATAGCGAGGGAGAGATCCCGCGCACTAGAGAGCTAGGGTCAAAAGAGATGGGGAAACAGGACAGAAACCTGAGAAGATGGAGACCAAGAAACCACCACAGATGGGAACCCAGAGAGAGACAGAAATCTGGAAAGGTAATAGAAACTCGAAGCACAGGCCAGGCGCGGTGGCTCACACCTGTAATCCCAGCACTTTGGGAGGCCGAGGTGAGTGGATCACAAGGTCAGGAGATCGAGACAATCCTGGCTAACACGGTGAAACCCCGCCTCTACTAAAAAAATACGAAAAAGTTTGCGTGTCGTGGTGGCGGGCACCTGTAGTCCCAGCTACTCGGGAGGCTGAGCTTGCAGTGAGCTGAGATCGCGCCACTGCACTCCAGCCTTGGCGACAGAGCGAGACTCTGTCTCAAAAAAACCCAAAAAAACAAAAACGAAGCACAAACACAGAATAGTATACGAATTATATCTCAATTCTTAAAAAATGGAACGGGGGGTCCGGGCACCACTGCAGAATCTCTGATAACTGCTTAGGAAAGACCTGCCCATAACTGCCCTTACGCCAGCACAGGGAGGCTGGGCCTATTCCGGGGATCCCTGCCTGGCCCCCACTCACCTGGGTAGTTGTAGGGCGTGGCCTTGTTGATCATGACGGAGTACTTGAAGTAGGGGCTCAATGGGGGCAGAATTACAGCTGTGGAGAGACACAGGGGTGAGGCCCAGGGGAAGGTGGCTCTGAAGAGAGGGGAAGAGAAGGTGAGCCTTGGCAAAGGGAAGATAAAGTGCGCAGGGGGAGGGCAGCAGGGAGGGCCAGCACGTCCAGGAGGATCCTTGGTACCTTGGGATCCCTACTTATAGACAGGAGGGTTTAAAACTCTTTTTTGGGGGGTTAAGTGGAGGTAGGGGTTGGAGCCTAACACTCACAGATACGTGGGGCCTGGAGGAGGCAGCAGTGGGGTTGGTCATGGAATGAGCACGTTTGAGTGTAGGGTCATCATGGAGCATCCTGGGGGTAGTGTCATGGGACTGTTCTGGAGAAATCAAGACTGTTACAAATTTGGCCGGGCACAGTGGCTCAAGCCTGTAATCCCAGCACTTTGGGCGGCCAATGTGGGCGGATCACCTGAGGTCAGGAGTTCGCGACCAGCCTGGACAACATGATGAAACCCCATCTCTACTAAAGATACGAAAATTAGCCGGGCGTGGTGGCAGGAGCCTGTAATCCCAGCTACTCAGGAGGCTGAGGCAGAAGAATCCCTTGAGCCTGGGAGGCAGAGGTTGCAGTGAGCCCAGATTGTGCCATTGCACTCCAGCCTGGGCAACAGAGAGAGACTCCATCACCAAAAAAAAAAAAAAAAAAAAGCCTTACAAACTGGAGGAGAAAGGGTTGCACAAACAACAGTCACTGACCACAGTCCATTTAGGGTGGGAGCCAGGAGTCCTGGGGGATGGGGTACAGTTCATAAAAGGAATGTTCTAGGCCAGTGCTGTCTGACAGATGGTAAGAGCCAGGTATATAATTTTATATCTTCTAGTAGCTACAGTAAAAATAAGAGATACAGATGAAACAAATTTTAAGAAACATACTTGGATGGGCGAGGTGGCTCATGCCTATAATCCCAGGACTTTAGGAGGCTGAGACGGGTGGATCACCTGAGGTCAGGAGTTCGAGACCAGCCTGACCAATATGATGAAACCCCGTCTCTACTGAAAATACAAAAACAGCCAGGTGTAGTGGCATGCGCCTGTAATCCCAGCTACTAAGGAGGCTGAGACAGGAGAATCGCTTGAACCCGGGAGGCGGAGGTTGCAGTGAGCCGAGATCAGGCCATTGCACTCTAGCCTGGACAAAAGCGAAACTCCGTCTCAAAAAAACAAAAACAAACAAACAAAAAAAACCATAGTACATCCAAAACATCACTTCGCCATGTAATCAACAAAAGATTATTGGTAGTTTACACACTCTGTTATACTAAGTTTTTGAAATCCAGTGTCTTATACCACCTCAATTCATACCAGCACCACTTCAAATGCTCAGTGGCCAGTTGTGGCTGGTGGCTGCCATACTGAATAAGTGTTCAGAACCTTAACCTAGTGCCTGGCTGGTGGACCAGCAGTACTGACAAGACCTGGGAACTCTTCAAAAATGCAGAATCCCATGCCCCACCCCAGACCTACAGAATCAGAACCTACAGTTTGGCCGGGCGCAGTGGCTCACCCCTGTAATCCCAGCACTTTGGGAAGGCAGATCACTTGCGGTCAGGAGTTCAAGACCAGCCTGGCCAACATGGTGAAACCTTGTCTCTACTAAAAATACAAAAATTAGCCGGGCGTGGTGGTGCTCGCCTGTAATCCCAGCTACTTGGGAGGCGGAGGCAGGAGAATCACTTGAACCCTAGAGGCGGAGGTTGCAGTGAGCCATGATCAAACCATTGCACTGTAGCCTGGAAGACAGAGCGAGACGCCATCTCAAAAAAAAAAAAAAAAAAAAGCTGGCCGGGCGCGGTGGCTCACGCCTGTAATCCCAGCACTTTGGGAGACCGAGTTGGGAGGATCACGAGGTTAGGAGATCGAGACCATCCTGGCTAACACGGTGAAACCCCGTCTCTATTGAACATACAAAAAATTAGCCGGGCATGGGGGCGGGCGCCTGTAGTCCCAGCTACTCGGGAGGCTGAGGCAGGAGAATGGCGTGAACCCGGAAGGCGGGGCTTGCACTGAACCGAGATCGCGCCACTGCACTCCAGCCTGGGCGACAGAGCGAGACTCAGTCTCAAAAACAAAAACAAAAAATTAGCTGGGCGCCTGTAATCCCAGCTACTCGGGAGGCTGAGGCAGGAGAATCCCTTGAACCCAGGAGGCCGAGGTTGCAGTGAGCCGGGATCGCGCCACTGCACTTCAGCCTGGGTGAGAGTGAGACTCCATCGCAAAAAAAAAAGCTACATTTTAACAATCCCCCGCCCCCATCCCTGCAGGAACTCCGGTGCTAATTAAAGTGTGAGTAGGGCAGTTCCAGGGCAGAGGGCAGAGATTTTCAATCAGCAAGGCACATTGGGATCATACGGGGATTTTCACAAGACACAGATTCCCCAGTCCCACCTCCACCCAAGCCAACTCAATTCAGAATGGGGGAGAGGAAAGATGAAAAGGAGGAGGAGGATCTGGACTTTTTTTTGGTGCTCAGGTGTTAAGGCATAAGCAGGGTTGAGAACGTCTCATTTAGAGGGGTTAAGAGCGTATTGGGTAGGTGGAGAGGAACGCGGGGGGCGATGGTGGAGAGGTTATAATGGGTATGGGGATAGATAAGGGGATGCCGTGGGGGTGCAGACACACTAGAGGGGACCCGAGGGCGGCGATAGGGCTTTAGGGGTACAAGATGGAGGGATGTAGGGGGACGGGGGTGGACGATGCAAGTTTGCGCCTGGAGCACTCACGCACCGAGGCCCCCGACGACGAAGGACACGACCAGCACTGGCTCCTTGTCCCAGGCATTCTTGAGGAAGGCGCCGACTCCTGAAGGGGTGGCAAGAAGCGTCACCCCTGCAAGTAGCTGCCCCCGGTGACCTCTAACCCTCTCGTGCCACCCCTGCCCTGGAGGAGCCCCCTCGTGACTTCTGCGTTCCCCTCCAGCACGGACCCCATCGCTTCCACCCCTGCCCTGCCGCACCTCAGTCCCAGGACCGCCCAGAGGTTCCCAGAACTACCCGAGCCCCGTGCGCCACCGGAACCTGCACTTACTCGCAGCCATCTTTGTCTCCGCGGCGGCGACAGCGGCGAGGACGCGGAGCACCCTGGGAGTTGTGGTCCCTATGCGCGAGAACCCGCTCCCAGGGCTGCGCGTGCGCCCTGGAGCACAAGTAGAGGCGAAAGCAAGGACGCGGAGCACTCTGGGAGTTGTGGTCCCTCTGTGCGACGGCCCGCTTTCGGAGCCTGCGCGTGCGCACTCGCGCAGAACAAAGATGGAGCCGTGGAGGTAAAGGAAGTGGTGTCAGGAGCAAGCGCAAGCCTGACTTTGCGGACCTGCGTGGAATCTCCTTAGTCTCAGCCTAGAAGTCGCTCCGGAGTGACTAGTCCTCCTGCTGCGACCCACCTAAGGCGGAACAAAATAGTCCCCATTTTATAGTTTATGTATGAAAGCCCATTTTACAGACGAAGAAACTGAGCCCGGGAGAAGGTGAATGACTAACCTGTCCTTCGAGGTCTCAGCTCAACATCGGCTCGTCCTGGAAGCGCTAGGTCTCATCCCAGATGGGTTAGGAGCTTTCTGCGGGCTCTCACAGTGCTCTGTTACCGCCATTATAGCTCAGATCACTTAAGAAACTGACCTGGTCTGGGCCGGGCGCGGTGGCTCACGCCTGTAATCCCAGCACTTTGGGAGGCCGAGGCGGGCGGATCACGAGGTCAGGAGATCTAGACCATCCTGGCTAACATGGTGAAACCCTGTCTCTACTTAAAAATACAACACAAATTAGCCGGGCGTGGTGGTGGGCGCCCGTAGTCCCAGCTACTGGGGAGGCTAAGGCAGGAGAATGGCGTGAACCCGGGAGGCGGAGCTTGCAGTGAGCCGAGATCACACCACTGCACTCCAGCCTGGGCGACAGAGCGAGACTCCGTCTCAAAAAAAAAGGAAACTGACCTGGTCTTGGTCTTTCAGTCGGACTGGTAGCTGCTGCTTGAGAGCAGTAACGGAGTCTGAGTTCCCTCTGTGCCTGCCAACATGGCACAGCGAGGGTCTGGCACGTAATAGGTTCTAATTTTTTTTTTTTTCTTCTGAGATTGAGTCTAGCTCTGTCGCCCAGGCTGGAGTGCAATGGCGCGATCTCGGCTCACAGCAACCTCCGACTCCCGAGTTCAAGCGATTCTCCTGCCTCAGCCTCCTGAATAGCTGGGATTACAGGCGCGCGCCTCCACAGCCGGCTAATTTTTCTTTTTTAGGAGAGACGGGGGTTTCTCCATGTTGGTCAGGCTGGTCTCGAACTTCCCGATCTCAGGTGATCCACCCGCCTTGGCCTCCCAAAGTGCTGGGATTACAGGCGTGAACAACCGCGCCCGGCCTAGAGGGGCTAATTTTTATCTATCTATCTATCTATCTATCTATCTATCTATCTATCTAACACAGTATCACACCAAGAGCCTGGCACATAATAGGTGCTAATTTTTCTCTGTCAACCAATCTATCAATCGATCAATTAATCACAGCAAGGGCCTGGCACATAATTGGTGTTAATTTTTATCTATCCATCAATCAATCACAGCAAGGGCCTGGCACTTAACAGGTGCTAATTTTTATCTATCTATCTATCTATCTATCTATCTATCCATCCATCCATCTATCTATCTTTCAATCACAGCAAGGGCCTGGCACATAATAGGTGCAAATTTTTATCTATCTGTCAATCAATGACAGCAAGAGTCTGGCACATAATAGGTTCTTATTTTTAAAACAGACAGATATCTTTCTATCTGTCTATCTATATTTAAAGACATGGTCTCACTCTATCACCCAGGCTGGAGTGCAGTGGCACAATTTATTTATTTTTTAGACAGGGTCTCGCTCTGTTGCCCAGGCTGCTCTTGAACTCTTGGGCTCAAGCGATCCTCCTGCCTCCACCTCCTGACTAGTATTTGTTTCTAGAGTTAAATAAATGAACACCACAGGTTATGACTGAACCCCCTGCTAATTTTTCCACAGTGCCATAGGGCTATGACACAGTCACCCACAGGCCCCCACCTCGATACTCTCTTCCGTAAATGAGGATCTGGGTCTGGTTTTCTGATGTTGCCTCATTTCCTGGGAGGGGAGAGGGTGCGACCAAGCCCTGGCTCCAGCTCTAGCGGGTATCTGCCCACCATGGCCCTGGTGCTGATCCTCCAGCTGCTGACCCTCTGTGAGTCACCCCTTTCTTCTCCCTGGGTTCCTGGCTGGGGTTGGGGGCAGAGAGAGAGGCAATGGAGACCCAGACACCCTGCAGGGGGACCAGGCAGCAGGTTTGGGATTCTAGGTTCAAATAAAGAACAGGGCTGGGGCCCAGACCCCTGGGTCCTAAAGCAAGAGAACACAGATTCCCGAAAGAGGAAGGAGGTGGGGACAGGTATCTCTGGTTCTTGAGGCAGGAAGAGGTCAGGAGACAGGGAGGACTCCCAGATTCTTATATGGGAGGGGGATGGAAGCCAGGACTCCTGATTCCCTGGGAAAAGGGGGCTGGGAACAGGGCTCTTAGCTCCTGAGAGAAGAGGGAAATGGGGACCCAGATTCCTGAACTCGTGAGAGGAGAAACTCTACGATCATTGTTCCCTGGAAAGGTGGAGTTCAAGGGCCTGAACTCTTGGTTGCCCAGGCCAGAGGGGTCTGCGTTCAGACTTCTTCGGTAGGTGGGCAATGGATGTCCAAATTTCTGCCTACTGAGACAGGAGGAGGGAGGGATAAGATTCTCATTTCCCAGAGGAGATAGGAGCTGGGAACTCAGATTCCTGGGTTACCAATGAGATGGGGCTGGCCACAAAGGGTTTTGAAAAGAACTCGCTGTTGGGCGCAGCGGCTCATGCCTGTGGGAGCCGAGGCCCAGCACTTTGGGAGGCCGAGGCGGGTGGATCACCTGAGGACAGGAGTTCAAGACCAGCCTGACCAACATGGCGAAACCCCTCTCTACTAAAAATACAAAGATTAGCCTGGTGTGGTGGCGGGCACTTGTAGTCCCAGCTACTACGGAGGCTGAGGCAGGAGAATCACTTGAACCTGGGAGGCAGAGGTTGCAGTGAGCTGAGATCACACCACTACACTCCAGCCTGGGCGACAGAGTGAGAGTCTGCCTCAGACAAAAAAAAAAAAAGGAAAAAGAAACTAGTCCCTCAACCTCCTACAGGGCCTCTGTGTCACACAGACATCACTCCGTCTGGTGAGTAGCCACCCCATCCACTCTCCTTTTGTTGCTGACACCCCTTTTCCAATTACTCAGATTTTATTTTGGTGCCCAATCCCATCCCAGATATCCTTATTTTCCTCCCTCCCTCCATTCCTTCCTTCTTTTCTCATTCCCCTTAGTGGCCATTATAGGTGAGTACTGAAGACCAGGAACTTCTGAGGCAGAGGCCTAAGCTAGGACCTCAGTTTCACCATCGTATTCATTTATATGTGACCATATGACCTAGAACAAGTCACAGCTTGCTAAGACTCCATTTCCTTCTCTGTAAAATGGGCCGCTGTGAGATCTCATCAAATCACATGTGCAAAACCCTGAGCCTGGCACAGTACAGGGCTTAAGAAATAGGATCTTGGGCTGGGCGCAATGGCCAACGTCTGTAATCCCAGCACTTTGGGAGGCAGAGGCGGGCGGATCACAAGGTCAGATCGAGATCATCCTGGCTAATGTGGTGAAACCCCGTCTCTACTAAAAAAAAAAAAAAAAAAAAAAAAAAATTAGCCGGGTGTGGTGGGACGCACCTGTAATCCCAGCTACTCAGGAGGCTGAGGCAAGAGAATCGCTTGAACCCAGGAGGCAGAGGTTGCAGTAAGCTGAGATCGCGCCACTGCACTCCAGCCTGGGTGACAGTGCAAGACTCCACTTCAAAAACAAACAAACAAACAAACAAACAAAAACTCTTTTGGAGATATTTCAGTGTCGCTATAGCTATCTCTACCTATTTATTTTATTTATTTATTTATTTATTTTGAGACCAGTTTCTCTCTGTCGCCCAGGCCGGAGTGCAGTGGTGCAATCTCGGCTCACTGCAACCACCTCCTGGGTTCAAGGGATTCTCCTGCCTCAGCCTCCTGAGTAGCTGGGACTACAGGCACACACCACAATGCCCGGATAATTTTTGTATTTTTAGTAGAGACAGGGTTTCCCCATGTTGGTCAGGCTGGTCTGGAACTCCTGACCTCAGGTGATCCCTCTGCCTCAGCCTCCCAAAGTGTTGGGATTACAAACATGAGCCCCCTCACCCGACCCTTATTTTTATTCATTTTTAGAGATGGGGTCTCATTGTGTCACCCGGGCTGGAGTACGGTGGCTCTATCATAGCTCACTGCAGCTTTGAATTCCTGGGCTCAGACAATCCTCCAGCCTCAGCCTCCCAAAGTGCATGCCACCATGGAGTTCTCACTCTGTTGCCCAGGCTGGAGTGCAGTGGCATGATCTCAGCTAACTGCAGCCTCCGACTCTAGGGTTCAAGTAATTCTCCTACTCAGCATCCCAAACAGCTGGAACTACAAGCTAGCACTACCACGCCTGGCTAATTTTTCTGTTTTTAGTAGAGATGGGATTTTACCATGTTGGTCAGGCTGGTCTTGAACTCCTGACCTCAGGTGATGCACCCACCTTGGCCTCCCAAAGTGCTGGGATTACAGCTGTGAGCCACCGGACCCAACAGCCTTCCTGTACTCTTAATTTGTGTGATTTGTGAATAAGTGATATCTGCCAGTACTATCATTTGTCCTCCAGTTTTGTCTTTTAGCATACACAACTTAAGAAATTTGAAGTGGTCAAATTAATTAATCTTCCATACAACTTTTTATTTTATATTTTAAGAAGCCTTCCTTACCCCAAGACAAATATATTTTCCTATAGTTTTTTGAATACTTTTATAGTTTAAAAAAAAAGAAACACAGGGTCTTTAATTAATCTGGAAGTTGTTTTGGGAAATGGTATGAGGTAGGGATCCAACATTTTTCTTTTCCAAATAGCAAGTTTTGGCAACTCTTGAAATACTATATTGCAAATATTCTGGAAAGCTATTTAAAATTAGAGTTCTGGCTGGGCGTGGTGGCTCACACCTGTAATCCCAGCACTTTGGGAGGCCGAGGTGGGAGGATTGCTCGAGCCCAAGAGTTCAAGAGTAGCCTGGGCAATATAGCGAATGCTCGTCTCTACTAAAAATTAAAAAAAAAAAATTAGCCTGGTGTAGTGGCATGTGCCTGTGGTCCCAGGTACTCAGGAGGCTGAGGTGGAGGACTGTTTGAGCCCAAGAGATTGAGGCTGCAGTGAGTTGAGAACATGCCACTGCACTCCTGCCTGAGCAACACAGCAAGACCCTGCCTCAAAAAAAAAAAAAAAAAAAAAAAAAGTCTGGGTGTGGTGGCACAAGCTTGTAAACTTAGCACTTTGGGAGGCCGAGGTGGGAGGATTGCTTGAGGCCAGTAGTTTAAGACCAACCTGCTCAACATAGGGAGACCGCCCCCTCCCATCTCATTACTTAAAAATAATAATAATAATAAAATTACAGAGTTCTGGGACCTGACCTTTTGAAACTGTGTTTACAAACTGTGGAGTAAAGCTCAGAAGTTTCTGTCCTGCCCCTCTGATTTGCACCTGGTTTTAACAAGGCTTGATTGTAGTCCAGTCTCTCCCTGATTTTACAAACAGGAAACTGAGGCTAAGAAAGGGGCAGTAATTGTCCAAGGTGATTTTCCTCCTTCCCCAACTTCCCTTTCATCTTCTGGGGCTCCCAGGAGGCCCGAGGACCCAGGCAGCCCCGTTTATTCAGTCCCCCCAGCTTCATACCACCCTAAGCCATGGCTGGGAGCTCAGCCGGCTACAGTTGTGACCCCTGGGGTCAACGTGACCTTGAGATGCCGGGCACCCCAACCCGCTTGGAGATTTGGACTTTTCAAGCCTGGAGAGATCGCTCCCCTTCTCTTCCGGGATGTGTCCTCCGAGCTGGCAGAATTCTTTCTGGAGGAGGTGACTCCAGCCCAAGGGGGAATTTACCGCTGCTGCTACCGAAGGCCAGACTGGGGGCCGGGTGTCTGGTCCCAGCCCAGCGATGTCCTGGAGCTGCTGGTGACAGGTGAGGTCCTGGGGTCGGGGAGGAGAAGTGGGTGGAACAAGGGAGTTGGGGGAGGGACAGAGAGATATAGGGAAAGAGAGACAGAGCGAGGCGGGCAAACAGATTCACAGACACAAGAAAAGACAGATACAGAGACACTAGGGGGAGAGAGAGAGACAGGGGAGCAGAGAGAGAGAGACAGGGGAGCAGAGAGAGAGAGAGGTACAGTGCGGGGGGAGAGAGAGAGAAAGAGGCAGAAGGAGAAAGGGAGGCAGAGAGAGAGGGAGGCAGAGAGAGAGGGAGGCAGAAAGAGAGGGAGGCAGAGAGAGAGGCAGGCAGAGAGAGAGGCAGGCAGAGAGAGAGGGAGGCAGAGAGAGAGGGAGGCAGAGAGAGAGGGAGGCAGAGAGAGAGGGAGGCAGAGAGAGAGGGAGGCAGAGAGAGGGAGGCAGAGAGAGAGGCAGGCAAAGAGAGAGGCAGGCAGAGAGAGAGGGAGGCAGAGAGAGAGGGAGGCAGAGAGAGAGGGAGGCAGAGAGAGAGGGAGGCAGAGAGAGAGGGAGGCAGAGAGAGGGAGGCAGAGAGAGAGGGAGGCAGAGAGAGAGGCAGACAGAGAGAGAGACAGGCAGAGAGAAAGAGAGGCAGAAAGAGAGAGAGAGGCACAGAGAAAGCGAGAGACAGAGGAGAAGGAGAAACAGAGCGAGCGAGCGAGCGGAAGACGCTCACGCGGCCCCGGACTCTCACCCCGTCTCTGCAGAGGAGCTGCCGCGGCCGTCGCTGGTGGCGCTGCCCGGGCCGGTGGTGGGTCCTGGCGCCAACGTGAGCCTGCGCTGCGCGGGCCGCCTGCGGAACATGAGCTTCGTGCTGTACCGCGAGGGCGTGGCGGCCCCGCTGCAGTACCGCCACTCCGCGCAGCCCTGGGCCGACTTCACGCTGCTGGGCGCCCGCGCCCCCGGCACCTACAGCTGCTACTATCACACGCCCTCCGCGCCCTACGTGCTGTCGCAGCGCAGCGAGGTGCTGGTCATCAGCTGGGAAGGTGAGGGCCCTGAGGCCCGGCCCGCCTCCTCCGCCCCAGGAATGCAGGCCCCAGGACCTCCGCCCTCAGACCCAGGAGCCCAGGCCCCCAGCCTCTCCTCCTTCAGACCCAGGGGTCTAGTCCTGCAGCCCCTCCTCCCTCAGACCCAGGATTCCTGGGACCCAGCCCCTCCTCCCTCAGATCCAGGAGTCTAGTCCTCCAGCTCCTCCTCCCTCAGACCCAGGATTCCCGGGCCCCAGTACCTCCTCCCTCAGACCCAGGACTCCAGGCCCCCAGCCCCTCCTTCCTGGACCCAGGACTCCAGGCCCCCAGCCCCTCCTTCCTGATCCAGCAGTCCAGGCCCCAGCCCCTTCTTCCTGGACCCAGGAGTTGAAGCCTCCATCGACTCCCCCTCAACTTTGAGACTGTAGAGTCAGGTCCCTAAGTCCACCCCAGGGGCTGGAAACCTGGAGTTCAGGGCCCAGACTTTGGGGTCCGGGAGCTGATGGCCCCTCTCTCCCGGCTCCGCCCGCAGACTCTGGCTCCTCCGACTACACCCGGGGGAACCTAGTCCGCCTGGGGCTGGCCGGGCTGGTCCTCATCTCCCTGGGCGCGCTGGTCACTTTTGACTGGCGCAGTCAGAACCGCGCTCCTGCTGGTATCCGCCCCTGAGCCCCAGGAGCACTGCAGCCCGAGACTTCCAACCTGAGTGGCGGAGAAGCTGGGACCCTGGGCTGGACTGTCCTTTCCTGCAGCCCCACAGTCCTGCTGGCTGAGCTCCGCGGAACGGTCCTTAGACCCCGCTGTGCCCTGTGCTGTAGCTTCTTTCCAGGCCTTTCCCAAGGAGTAGCTGAAAGGAAGACGCGATTAGTGGTTAAGACTTCCAAGCCAGAAGACAGAGGGTTCGAATCCCAGCACTGCCGTCTACTCACTGTAGTAGTAGCAGCTACAGAAAGGTAGTAGTGAGACGTGAAGCCAGCTGGACTTCCTGGGTTGAATGGGGACCTGGAGAACTTTTCTGTCTTACAAGAGGATTGTAAAATGGACCAATCAGCACTCTGTAAGATGGACCAATCAGCGCTCTGTAAAATGGACCAATCAGCAGGACATGGGCGGGGACAATAAGGGAATAAAAGCTGGCGAGCGCGGCACCCCACCAGAGTCTGCTTCCACGCTGTGGGAGCTTTGTTCTCTTGCTCTACACAATAAATCTTGCTGCTGCTAACTCTTTAGGTCCGTGCCATCTTTAAGCGCTGTAACACTCACCACGAAGGTCCCTGGCTCCATTCTTAAAGTCAGCGAGACCACAAACCCACAGGAAGGAACCAACTCTGGACACGGTAGCAGCATTCAGAAAGCGCCCTTCCCCAACTCTCTCTTGCCTTGACGGTAAAATGGATGCACTGATAAAACCCACTTCATAGGATTGTTGTAGGATTCAGTGGGTAATACACATAAAACATTTAAAGCAGTAACTGGCCCGTAGTAAGTGTTCAATAAATGTTAGCTACCCTGTAACACCGATTTCTACCAGACTCAGTGCCGAAAGGAAGGTCTCACCTTTTTGCCATCAAGCATAATCAAGCACGACTTTTTCTTTCTTTCTTTCTTTTTTTTTTTTGAGAGAAGATCTCACTCCACCCAGGCTGGAGTGCAGTGGCGTGATCTCGGTTCACTGCAACATCCGCCTCCCGGGTTCAAGTGATTCTCGTGCCTCAGTCTCCTGAGTAGCTGGGATTACAGGTGTGCGCTATCACGCCCAGCTAATTTTTGTATTTTTAGTAGAGATGGAGTTTTGCCAAATTGGCCAGGTGGTCTCGAACTCCTGACCTCAAGTGATCCACCTGCCTCGGCCTCCCGAATAGCTGGGATTACAGGTGCGTACCACCATGTCCGGCTAATGTTTGTATTTTTAGTAGAGACGGGGTTTCACCATGTTGACCAGACTGGTCTTGAACTCCTGACCTCAAGTGATCCGCCCGCCTCAAGAACTGAATTTTGAAGTCTAATTAGCCACCTGGGGGCGCTAACGTGTTGAAAAGACGGGAGGAGAGACTGAGCGGGTCTTCCGGGGTTTGATCTCAGTGCCAGAGGGGCCTTGGTAGAACATATGTGGGACAACCTCCCCGGCATATGTGGCTGTGGGAAATAATAACAATTTTAAAAAAGGAATAAGCCGGGGGTGCTGGCTCACACCTGTGATCCTAGCACTTTGGGAGGCCGAGGCAGGTGGATCACGAAGTCAGAAGTTCGAGACCAGCCTGGACAACATGGTGAAACCCCGTCTCTACTAAAAATACAAAAATTAGCCGGGCGTGGTGGCGGGCGCCTGTAATCCCAGCTACTCGGGAGGCTGAGGCAGGAGAATTGCTTGAACCCAGGAGGCGGAGGTTGTAGTGAGCCGAGATTGCATCACTGCACACTCCAGCCTGGGTGACAGAGCAAAACTCCGTCTCAAAAAAAAAAAAAAAAAAAAAAAGAATAAAGAAGAGACGCAGGTTATAAGGAAGGCACCAGACCTGGATGAGGCTGTGATGTCATCAAATCCAGTCTTCCCACTTTATAAATGGGAAAATGGTGGAAAGAGAGGTGATATTAAGTTTACCTAAACATGTACAGGAAGTCAGTGGCACATCAGGGAGTCTTTTTTTTTCCTTTTTCCCTCTTTTTTTATTTTATTTTATTTTATTTTATTTTTTTTGAGGTGGACTTTCGCTCTTGTTGCCCAGGCTGGAGTGCAATGGCGCCATCTCGGCTCACCACAACCTCCGCCTCCCAGGTTCAAGTGATTCTCCTGCCTCAGCCTCCCGAGTAGCTGGGATTACAGGTGTGAGCCACCACACCTGGCTAATTTTGTATTTTGAGTAGAAACAGGGTTTCTCTGTGTTGGTCAGGCTGGCCTCGAACTCCCAAACTCAGGTGATCCGCCCGCCTCAGCCTCCCAAAGTGCTGGGATTACAGGCATGAGCCACCGTGCCCGGCCCTCTTTTTTTAAAAATGTATTTCCACCCAAAGCAGAGAAAAAGAAGTCTTGGCCGAGTTTGTACTTCAACTTAACTCCATGTATTCATCCATTCAATCACTCCTTCATTCACCATTCACTCATTCATGTCTAGCATTGATTCTCATCCTTATTCATTTCTATTGAGCATCTCTTTTTCCTTTGCTTTCATTTGTACATTTGTCTATTTCATTTGTCCTTATCCATCATGCATTCATTCATATTTCCATCCATTTACCCATCCATTTCTTCATTAACCAGTTTTTAATCCACTGAACTATTTATTCATTCAATATCCATCTATCTACCTGTGCATTTATCTATCCAATAAGCTTGAGATTTTTTTTCTTTTTGAGATGGAGTCTTGCTCTGTTTCCCAGGTTGGAGTGCAGTGTTGTGATCTCAGCTCACTACAATCTCCACCTCCCGGGTTCAAACGATTCTCCTGCCTCAGCCTCCCAAGTAGCTGGGATTACAGGCACCTGCCACCATGCCCGGCTAATTTTGTGTTTTTAGTAGAGATGGGGTTTCACCATGTTGGCCAGGCTGTTCTCGAACGCTTGACCTAAAGTGATCCATCTGCCCACCTTGGTCTCCCTTTAAAGTGCTGGGATTACAAGCGTGAGCCACCGCACCCAGCTGAGATTTCTTCATAGCAGTTTACCAGTGACCAGTGTTCAATGAATGCTTATTGAGTGAGTTGTAGTCACAATGCTTATTTCATTTTCTACCACTGAACATCTTTTCATACTGGTCATTTTGCTGGGTGATCCACATAGGTTATTTCTGATCAACAGCCCCCAAGACACACAGAAGTGCCTAACTTGGGACTTGTCTGTGTGGTTAGACTGCTGGGTCTTTTCCCCCTGTTCCTGCCTCTTAAAGCAATGACAACACTGCCATCACCACGCCTGGCCAATTTATTATTACTATTATTATTATTTTTTTTTTGAGATGGAGTCTCGCTCTGTTGCCAGGCTGTAGTGCAATGACGCGATCTCGGCTCACTGCAACCTCCGCCTCTTGGGTTCAAGTGATTCTCCTGCCTCGCCCTCCCGAGTCGCTGGGATTACAGGCGTGTGCCACCACCATGCCCAGCTAACTTTTGTATTTTTAGTAGAGATGGGGTTTCACCATGTTGGCCAGGATGGTCTCGATCTATTGACCTCGTGATCCACCCCCCTCGGCCTCCCAAAGTGCTGGAATTACAGGCGTGAGCCACCGCGCCCGGCTAATTGTTTACTTTTTATAGCTATGGGATCTCACCATGTTGTCCAGGCTGGTCTTGAATGCCTGGCCTCAAGCCATCCTCCTTCCTTGGCCTCCCAAAGTGCTGGGATTCCAGGAGTGAGTCACTGTGCCAGGCCTAGGGCTTCCACTGATTTCCCCTAGTCTCATTCATCCTCGTATCACTCATGTATTCAATGTCTACCGTGCATGGCATTGTGCTAGAGTCCGGCGGTCCAGTGGGGAGCAATAGCAGACATAAACCCTGCACTCATGGAACTCACAAAGTATTAACCAAATCACTGCATAGTGTATTGGTTACAGAGCACTTTAAGCTGTTGTAAAAAAGAATCTCCCGGCCAGGTGCAGTGGCGCACACCTGTAATCCTAGCACTTTGGGAGGCCAAGGCAGGTGGATCACCTGAGGTCAGGAGTTCGAGAGCAGCCTGATTAACATGGTGAAACCCTGTCTCTACTAAATACAAAAAATTAGCCTGGTGTGGTGGTGCATGCCTGTAATCCCAGCTACTCGGGAGGCTGAGGCAGGAGAATCACTTGAACCCGGGAGGCGGAGGTTTCACTGAGCCGAGGTCGTGCCATTGCACTCCAGCCTGGGCAACAAGAGCCAAGCTCCATCTCATAAAAAAGAGAGAGAGAGAGAAAAAAAGAATCTCCTTCACCACCGGAAAAAAACTAGATATAAATGTACCTCTCTCTCACTTAACAGTAAATCACTGGGCAATCTCAACGATTTACTTGTTAAGGTGGGATGGTTTTGCTTTTATCAACATGTAGCTTTAATTTCTGGTTCTGAGCCCCAAGAAAGAGGAGAGGACAGAGAGAAAAGGGCTCACACAATTATTATTTTTTTTTTTTTCCGAGTTGGAGTCTTGCTCTGTCGCCCAGGCTGGAGTGCAGTGGCGCGATCTCGGCTCACTGCAAGCTCCGCCTCCCGGGTTCACGCCATTCTCCTGCCTCAGCCTCCCAAGTAGCTGGGACTACAGGCGTCCACCACCACACCCGGCTAAATTTTTTTGTATTTTTAGTAGAGACGGGGTTTCACCGTGTTATCCAGGATGGTCTCGATTTCCTGACCTCGTGATCCGCCTGCCTCAGCCTCCCAAAGTACTGGGATTACAGGCGTGAGCCACTGCGCCCGGCCCACACAATTATTTTTTAAGAGCAGGACCTAGAATTTGAGCATGTATCTTCCTATCGCATCCCATTGGCTAGAACTTAGTCTCATGGACAGGTCTAGCCGCAAAAGTGACTGATGGAAATATGGTCTCTAGCCTGTGCCCTTCTAAAAATGAGGGTGGGAGGGGGTGGGATAGGTGCAGTGGCTCACTCATAATCCCAGCATTTTGGGAAACTGAGGCAGGAGGATGGCTTGAGGCCAAGAGTTTGAGACTCCCTTCTCTATTCAAAAAAAAAAAAAAAAATACAGTAGGCCAGGTGCGGTGGTTCACGCCTGTAATCCCAGCACTTTGGGAGGCCAAGGCAGGCAGATCACCTGAGGTCAGGAGTTGGAGACCACCCTGGCCAATATAGTGAAACCCCGACTCTACTAAAAATACAAAGCTGTAATCCCAGCTACTCGGGAGGCTGAGGCAGGAGAATCACTTGAACCCTGGAGGCAGAGGTTGCAGTGAGCTGATACACGCCATTGCACTCCAGCCTGGGCCACAGAGCGAGACTCCGTCTCAAAAAAAAAAAAAAAAAAAAAAAACAACGAATAAAACAAAAAAACAAAAAACAAACAAAAAAAAGTTTAATGATTTTTCTTCTCTCTAGGAGAAAATATGGAAGTAAAACAGGACCCATCTGAAGATCGTGTGTCCTCTGCTGATTTTAAATAGCCATGGAAAGTTAATGCCACCGCAAGGGGCAGCCCCGCCCTGGCACTCTGGAAACCTGGTACTTATCCACGCAATCAGAGGCTTGAACCACAGCTAAGCTGAGTCTCGGCGGGACCTCTTCTGATCCTCCGGGCACACAAGAGGATTGGGGGCTGGGGAGGAGCTGCTTCAAGGCCACCTCCGTTTTACCTCCCGTGATACCGTGATATAGTAAGAAATATGTACTTGGTCTTCAGCTTTGGTTCCAAAGACACCCTTCTCACCCCATCACTCTGGAATTTCCAAAAACCCTTGGTGAGAAGGGTGTCTTTTGTTATTTATAAGGAGCCTCTTTTCTCTCTTTCTCTCTTTCTTGCTTCCTTCCTTCCTTGCCTCCCTCCCTCCCTCCTTCCTTTTCTCTTTTCTTTTTTCTTCTTTCTTTATTTTTCTTTCTTTCTTTCTTTCTTTCTTTCTCTCTTTTCTTCTTTCTTTCTCTCTTCCCTTTCTCTCCCTTTCCTTTCCTTTCTCTCCCTTCCCCTCCCCTCCCCTCTCCTCTCCTCTCTTTTCCTTTCTTTTCCTTCCTTTCCTTCTTTCCTCTAATCCCAGCACTTTGGGAGGCCAAGGCGGGCGGATCTCTTGAGGTCAGGAGTTTCAGACCAGCCTGGCCAACATGGTGAAACCTCGTCTCTACTAAAAATACAAAAATTAATCGGGCATGGTGGCAGGCACCTGTAATTCCAGCTACTCTGGAGGCTGAGGCAGGAGAATCCCTTGAACTAGGATGCAGAGGTTGCGGTGAACCGAGATCTCACCACTGCACTCCAGCCCGGGCTACAGAGCGAGACTCCGTCTCAAGGAAATATAAAAGAAAATAAAATAAATGTCTCCCAAAGAGACAAGTCAGATTAGCCTAAACCCAGGAATAACTACAAGCAGTTTGAGGGCCAAAGGCAAGGTAGGGGCTGGCCAGATCCGATCTCCTTCACTGCCATCGTTTGCTCACTCTCGTAATTTTTGCAAAGGAGGTTTCAATTGCATGGTTGTCAGCGAACATCCTATTCATCCATTTCTTGCTTTCTACCAGTAAAATTGAACTTTATAGGCCTGCTTTGTGCTTTTAAGGCTAACTAGCAAAATTCCAGAGTTTAGCCTTAAAAAATATTTATAATTGGCCGGGCACAGTGGCTTACACCTGTAATCCCAGCACTTTGGGAGGCTGAGGCGGGTGGATCACAAGGTCCGGAGATCGAGACCATCTTGGCTAACATGGTGAAACTCCGTCTCTACTAAACACACACACACACACACACAAAAGTAGCCGGGTGTAGTGGCACACGCCTGTAGTCCCAGCACTTTGGAAGGCTGAGGTGGGCGGATCATGAGGTCAGGAGATCGAGACCATCCTGGCTAACATGGTGAAACCCCGTCTCTACTAAAAATACAAAAAAAAAAAAAAGTAGCCGGGCGTAGTGGCACATGCCTGTAGTCCCAGCTACTTGGGAGGCTGAGGCAGGAGAATCACTTGAACCCGGGAGGCAGAGGTTGCAGTGAGCTGAGATTGTGCCATTGCACTCCATCCTGGGTGACAGAGTGAGACTCCATCTAAAAAAAAAAATTCTTTATAATTGATCAAAAGAAGTTTAAGAAATGGATTAAGAAGATCTCTTCTTTGCAGCTGTAGGGGAGGAGAGGGAGCTAGAGAGAGAGAGGGCATTGAGAGAGGAGAAAAAGATATTCTGTGCCATAAAACTAATTCAAGAATGTAGTTTAGGCGAGGCATGGTGGTTCACACCTGTAATCCCAGAACTTTGGGAGGTCGAGGCAGGCGGATCACTTGGGCCCAGAAGTTCGAGACCAGCCCTGGCCAACATGGCAAAACACTGTCTCTACTAAAAGTACAAAAATTAGCCCGGCGTGGTGGCACAACCCTGTAATTCCTTGTACTTGGGAGGGCTGGGGCAAGAGAATCACTTGAACCCGAGAGGCAGAGGTTGCAGTGAGTCGAGATCACACCACTGCACTCCAACCTGGGTGACACAGTGAGACCCTGTCTTAAAAAAAAAAAAACAAAAAAAAAAAAAACAGAGTGGGGTGGGGGGCTGGGGGAGGGATAGCATTAGGAGAAATACCTAATGTAAATGATAACTTGATGGGTGGAGCAAACCAACATGGCACATGTATCAAACCTGTACATTATGCACATGTACCCTAGAACTTAAAGTAAAAAAACAAAACAAAACAAACAAACAAAAAAATGGAATGTGGATTGATAAGTTAATAAACTGAGAATATTAAAAAGGCTCTAAATGTGTTTTATAGTCTTATGTAGTATGGAGATCTATGGATATTTATTACAGCAGCCAGTGTTCCATTCTGTGGTTCCATAAATCTGTGCTTTGAAGTGTAATTTGCACAAAATAATCTTGTAGGAGTCCAAAGACATTAGAAATTATTGCCAGTATTGCAATCATTATTTTGAAGGAGAAACCTTGGTGCCATTTGGTGGTCTTACTTAATATTTTGTTGCCCTGGTAACAATCTTATGATTGACATCTGAATTTCCAAGCAGAATAAATGCTTGTAAAAACAATTCTGTTAAATCAGAAGCTATGCATTGGTGTCTGTGTCTTAGTCTGTATTCTGTTGCTTAGAACAGAACACTTGAAGCCAGATAACTTATAAAGAAAAGGAATTTATTTCCTGTAGTTAATGGAGGTTGGAAAGTCCAAGGTGGAGGGGCTGCATCTGGTGAGGACCTTCTTGCTGTTGGGGACTCTCTGGAGGGTTCCGAGGTGGCACAGGGCATCACAGGGCAAAAGAGCTGAGCGTGCTACTTAAGTCTCTCTTCCTCTTCTGATAAAGCCACCAGTCTCACTCCCAGGGTAACCCATTAATCCATTAACTCACTAATCCATTAATCCATGAATGGATTAGTTCATTCATGAGAAAAGAGTCCTCATGACCCAATCACCTCTTAAATGCCCGACCTATCAATACGGCCACATTAGGGATTCAGTTTCACCATAAGTTTATTTATTTATTATTTATTTATGTATTTTTTGAGACAATGTCTTGCTATGTCACCCAGGCTGGACAGCAGTGGCATGATCTCAGCTCATTATAACCTCCACCTCCCAGGTTCAAGTGATTCTCCTGCCTCAGCCTCCTGAGTAGCTGGTATTACAGGCACGTGCCACCATGCCCGGGTAATTTTTGTATTTTTAGTAGAGACAGGGTTTCATCATGTTGGCCAGCTAGTCTCAAACTCCTGACCTCATGTGATCTGCCCACCTTGGCTTCCTAAAGTGCTGAGATTACAGGTGTGAGCCACCACACTCAGCTTATTTACCTATTTATTTTTTGAGACAGGGTCTCACTGTGTTGCACAGGCTGGAGTGCAGTGGTGCAATCACGGTTCACTGCATCCTCAGCTTTCTGGGCTCAGGTGATCCTCCCACTTCAGCCTCCTGAGTAGCTGGGATCACAGGCATGTGCCACCTCACCTGGCTAATTTTTAAATTATTTGTAGAGACAGGGTCTCCCTATGTTGCCCAGGCTGGTTCAACATGAGTTTTCAAGGGAACAAATATTCAAACCTTAGCAGCAGGTTAAATGATCTTTCTCCCACATTTATGATCGGAAAAAAAAAATTAAAGCCTGAGACTCTGCTAGACTTCTTACTTTAACAAGAGTCTGAGAGTCTTGTTTCATTTCCATTACAGCATCTATTAATAGTTCTGACTGAGAGAAGAGCTATCCTTTACTTTGACGATTATGAAGAATAGGGGAAAAGACATTAAAAAGACACAATTACACCATTGATGATTTTGTCACAGCTGAGATAAGTGCTGTTAAAGAACTTGCAGGGAAGTCTTTGCTAAAGAAAAGATTCTGAAGCTGGTTTCTGAGGGAAGAGTCAAAGTTAGCCAAGCAAAAATGGGGGAAAAACTCCAGATACAGGAGTTTTCAGGATGTTTCAGGGTCTGAGATGGGAAGGAGGTTATGTGTTCCAACCCAGTGGTTCTCAAACTTGACTGCACATTAGAATTTCCCAGGAACATTTAAAACACAGAATGAGACACCCAGGCCTCATCCTATACCCATTATAAAAATTAAAATCTCGACTGGGCACGGTGGCTCACACCTGTAATCCCAGCACTTTGGGAGGCCAAGGTGGGCAGATCACCTGAGGTCAAGAGTTCAAGACCAGCCTGACCAACATGGAGAAATCCCATCTCTACTAAAAAATACAAAATTAACTGGGTGTGGTGGCACTTGCCTGTAATCCGAGCTACTTGGGAGGCTGAGGCAGGAGAATCGCTTGAACCCGGGAGGCAGAGGTTGCAGTGAGCTGAGATCATGCCATTGCACTTCAGCCTGGGCAACAAGAGCAAAATTCCATCTTAAAAAAACAAAAATAAAAAAATAATTAAAATCTCTCGGTGGGACTCAGGCACTCAGTAAATATATATATATCTATTTCCATTGACCATAACACATGACAGACTAAAGATGGCCTCCAATTCTTTGTCACTGTCCCTATAGAGAGGTAGAGTTTATTTTCCCTCCCCTTGAATCTGGCCTTTCCTTAAGACTGTAGAAGAAGAGAAACTGTGTCAGTTCCAGGCTTAGTCTTTAAAGGGACAAACAACTTTTGCCTTCTTTATTTTATTTATTTATTTATTTATTTGAGACAGAGTCTCATTCTGTTGCCCAGGCTGGAGTGCAGTGGTGTGATCTCGGCTCACTGCAACTTCCGCCTCCCAGGTTCAAGCAATTCTCCTGCCTCGGCCTCCTGAGTAGCTGGGATTACAGGTGTGCACAAACACACCCGGCTAATTTTTTTTAATTTTGTTTTTAGTAGAGACGGGGTTTTACCATGTTGGCCAGGCTGATGTTGAACTCCTGACCTCAGGTGATCCACCCACCTCGGCCTCCCAAAGTGCTGGGATTACAGACGTGAGCCACCATGCCCAGCCGCCTTCTCTATTTTAGAAAGCTCTCTTGTGACATCCCCTCTTGAAACCCAGATGCTATCCTCCAAGAAGTCTGAATCAAATGGAGAGGCCATGTGCAGGTACATCATTCAACAGTCCTAGCCGAGCTTTCAACCAACATCCAGCATCAACAGCCAGCCATTTGCAAGTGCCATCTTGGAGATTCCAGCTCAGTTGAGCCACCCTGATGACTGAAGCCCAGGAAGACATCACATTGAACCGAAGAACCGCTCAACTGAGCCCAGTCATCTCACCAGATCAGGAATGATTAAAAAAAAAAAAAAACAAGATTGTTACTCTAAGTTACTCAGTTTTGGGGTGGTTTGTTAACACAGTAATTGATAACCTAAACCCAAAAGAGAACTAAATAATGATGACTTAAAACTAATACCAATTGATTTCTCCCTTATGTAGAATAAATCTGAAGGGAGCAGTCCAAGGCTGGCACAGTGACTCCAAAAAGCATTATGGACCTAAGTTACTTCTGGCTCACCCTCCACCATCTTGAACCTCATCTCATCTTCATGGTTCAAGATGACGCTAGAATACCAGTCATCACATCCACATTTTAGGCAGTTAAGTGAAGGAAGGAAAGTGTACTTCATTAAAGAACCTTTTGGAAGCTGTCTACAATATTTATGCTTATTTATCATTGTCCTAGATGAAGACTTACGGCTACATCTACCTGTAAGTGACACTGAAGAATGTAGTTTTTTACCTGGGTGCCAATGGGCCCAGCTAAAAATCAGAATTCTCAACAGCAAAAGGATGGCTTTGAGATAATCATGTAGATTATGTGCAGATAACTACAGATAAGTCCCCTCCCCCAAGTCTATTTTAAATTTTCTCCTGGAGTATTTTAAAGTAAACCTCAGATATAATATGATTTCATCTATAAGACTTTTTATTTTGGTAACATATTCTTAAGGTTAGGTGTGATAAACACCTAACAAAGTGAATGATTATTTATTTATTTATTTTATTATTATTTTTTGAGATGGAGTTTCACTCTTGTTGCCCAGGCTGGGGTACAATGGTGCGATCTCAGCTCACTGCCACCTCCCCCTCCCAGGTTCAAGTGATTCTCCCACCTCAGCCTCCTGAGAAGCTGGGATTACAGGTATATACCACCAAGCCTGGCTAATTTTTGTATTTTTTGTAGAGATGGGATTAGGCCATGTTGCCCAGGCTGGTGTTGAACTCCTGGGATCAAGCCTTCCACCTACCTCACCTCCCAAAATCTTAGGATTACAGGTGTGATCCACCTTGCCTGGCCCTAAGCTATTCTTTATTCTTTCTTTTTTCGTTTTTTGAATCAGGGTCTCCTTTCTTCATTTCCAAGTGGAATGGAACTTTACCAGGCCTTTCCTGTTGACTGATAAAATTCCAGAGCCTAGTTTTAAAATATGCATATTCCTTGTTAGCAACAGAGATGTTAAGAAGAAATATAGGAGATGTCCTCTTTTCCCTGATACTGCATAAGGAGAAAGATTTTTTCTGAGTCACAACACTAATTTAAGGAATCTGATTTGATAAAGAGTTGAATTGAGAAGATTCACAAGAATATCAGTCTTGTTTTCTGGTACAATATGGAGAACTAAATGAATATTCACAAACATTACTAAATTGTTCTCTGTTGAAATAAATTCATACACAAAACTGTTATTTGAACAAAAGGGTCTTGTAAGAGTCCCAAGCCTTTAAAAATCATTGCCACATCTTGTGAAAATAACTTTCAAAGAAACACCTGTAATTATAGTTGGTTTTACTCCTTATAATTTGTTGCCTTGTTGACTTTTCTATGTTCCAAAACAGTAAGAAGAGTAGGTGCTATCAAGACAAAAAATCCGAAAACAAAAACGAGACTTCGGGGCATTTTGCTCTTCTTCCAAATGCAAGATGAAAAAAAACATGGTTAAAAACTAACTTGCTTGATTTCTTATTTTAACAAAAAAATAAAAAATTTTGTCTGATTCAAATTAACATTTTTTTTTTTTTTTTTGAGACTGAGTCTCACTCTGTTGCCCAGGCTGGAGTGCAATGGTGCGATCTCAGCTCACTGCAACCTTTGCCTCCCAGGTTCAAGCAGTTCTCCTGCCTCAGCCTCCTGAGTAGCTGGGATTACAGGCGTGCACCACCACGCCCAGCTAATTTTTGTATTTTTAGTAGAGATGAGGTTTCACCATGGTTGGCCAGGCTGGTCTCGAACTCCTGACCTCAGGTTATCTACCTGCCCCGGTCTCCCAAAGTGTTGGGATTACAGGCATGAGCCACTGCGCCAGGCTAAATTAACATAATTATCAAATGCAATCTGTAGACTTTTATTGGATCCTGATTTATTCTTTAAAAACCTGATAGAAATGACATTTTTGAGACAATCAGGGAAATTTGAGTACTGAATGGGTATTAGCTGGTATCAAGGAGGTACTCTTAACTTTCTTGATGTGACAGTGCTGTGGTGCTTATATTATTTTTAAAATGGTTCTTATTTGATAAAGATAGATATGTACTGAAATATTCTGAACTTAAAAAATGAGCTCATGACTGGCTGGGCACAGTGGCTCATGCCTGTAATCCCAGCACTTTGGGAGGCTGAGGTGGGTGGATCACTTGAGATCAGGAGTTTGAGACCAGCCTGGCCAACATGGTGAAACCTCATCTCTACTAAAAAATACAAAAATTAACTGGGCATGTTGAAGGGCTCCTGTAATCCCAGCTACTTGGGAGGCTGAGGCAGGAGAACCGCTTGAACCTGGGGGGTGGAGGTTGCAATGAGATGAGATTTTGCCACTTCACTCCAGCCTGGGCGAAAGAGTGGAACTCTGTCTCAAAAGAAAAAAAAAAAATGGTGATGAAGGCCTGGCACAGTGGCTCATGCCTGTAATCCCAGCAGTTTGGGAGGCCGAGGCAGGTGGATCACTTGAGGCGAGGAGTTCAAGACTAGCCCAGCTAACTTGTGAAACCTCATCTTAACTAAAAATACAAACATTAGCCGGGCATGGTGGCATGCGCCTATAATCCCAGCTACTTGGGAGGCTGAGGCCGGAGAATTGCTTGAACCCAGGAGGCTGAAGTTGCAATGACCTGAGATCGTGCCACTGGACTCCAGCCCAGGTAACAGAACCAGACACCATCTCAAAAAAAAAAAAAAGAGTGAAGTGCTTTCATCTCTTCAATACGAACCCTTCAGGGCCAAGTCTGAAGCATTTTCGGGGTTACCTGTTTGATGCCTGAAATCTGCCTGAGACAGAGGAGCATTTCCTGTGAGTCAAGTGCTCGAACACTGGTGTGTGTAAGGAGCATGTTGCAATCAGCAACATCAACATGTTTCCTGAATGTGGATATGGGAGGGGAAACTGAAAGGCTAGGAAAGGCTGTTACTGCCCACACTCTGGGGTGGGAGAGAGGCAGCGACGACTCCAGCTCTTCTCCCATCTGTGGACTGCAGAACCCAAGACGGACTCTGGGAGGGCTAAGGAGCCATCATGATCCCTAAGCTGCTTTCCCTCCTCTGTTTCAGTAAGTCTCACAGGGCTATCCACTGGGACTGCAGAAAATCATGGAACTGGTGGGATAGTTGGGCTGGGGATGGAAATAATAACATCAACTTTGGCTTACTGAGCACACGGGAGGAGTGAGACGTCCTGCTGAGTGCAGTGCAGACATTCCCTGGAAACGAGTGCTCTGCAAACTTCAACTCCTGTAGTTTCAACTTCGTGAGTTTTGCTGAATGCCTCCACCACCTGGCTTCATTGGCTTACCCCTTTTCTCAGGATCAACTCTGACTTTTTGTGTGTAAGTAAAAGTATTCAGAATAGAAACCTTATTTTATTTTATTTTATTTTATTTTTTTGAGACAGAGTTTTGCTCTTGTTGCCCAGGCTGTAGTGCAATGGCATGATCTCGGCTCACCACAACCTCTGCCTCCCGGGTTCAAGCGATTCTCCTGCTTCAGCCTCCTGAGTAACTGGATTACAGGGGTGCGCCACCATGCCTGGTTAATTTTTGTATTTTTAGTAGAGACAGTGTTTCACCATGTTGGCCAGGCTGGTCTCGAACTCCCGACCTCAGGTGATCTGCCCACCTCAGTCTCTCAAAGTGCTGGGATTACAGATGTGAGCCACTGTGCCTGGCCCAGAAACCTTAATACCATAAATAAAAATTTAGTGTCAAATAGATAACTATAAAGTAAATTGAGGCCGCTGTGTAACCATCACCACTATCTACACTAAAACCTCTTTCTTTCTTCCTTCCTTCCTTCCTTTCTTTCTTTTTCTCCTTCCCTTCCTTCCTTCCTTCCTTCCTTCCTTCCTTCCTCCCTTCCTTCCTCTCTCTCTCTTTCTTTCTTTTTTTTTTTTTTGAGATGGAGTCTCGCTCTGTCGCCCAGGCTGGAGTGCAGTGGTGCGATCTCTGCTCACTGCAAGCTCCGCCTCCCGGGTTCACGCCATTCTCCTGCCTCAGCCTCCCGAGTAGCTGGGACTACAGGCGCCCGCCACCATGCCCGGCTTTTTTCGTAGGTTTCACTGTGTTAGCCAGGATGGTCTCCATCTCCTGACTTCTTGATCTGCCCGCCTCGGCCTCCCAAAGTGCTGGGATTACAGGCGTGAGCCCCCGCTTGCTTGCCTGCTTGCTTGCTTGCTTGCTTTCTTTCTTTCTTTCTTTCTTTCTTTCTTTCTTTCTTTCTTTCTTTCTTTCTTTCTTTCTTTCTTTCTTCCTTCCTTCCTTTCTTTCTTTCTCTTTCTCCTTCATTCCTTCCTTCCTCTCTCTCTTTCCCTTCCTTCCTTCCTTCCTTACTTCCTTCCTTCCTTCCCTCCTTTTCCTTTTTTTGAGACAAAGTCTCACTCTGTACCCAGGCTGGAGTGCAGTGGTATGACCACAGCTCACTGCAGCCTCCACCTCCTGGGCTCAAGCAATTCTCCTGCCTCAGCCTCCTGGGTAGCTGAGATTACAGGTGCCCACCACACACCCGGCTGATTTTTTGTACTTTTTAGTAGAGACGGGGTTTCATCATGTTGGCCAGGCTGGTCTTGAGCTCCCTCAGGTGATCACCTCAGGTGATCTGCCCGCCTCAGCCTCAGCCTCCCAAAGTGCTGGGATTACAGGCGTGAGCCACAGTGCCCCGTGTAATTTTTAAATTTTTTGTAGAGACGGGATCTCACTATGTTACTCAGGCTGGTCTCAAACTCCTGGCCTCAAGCAGCCCTTCTGCCTTGGCCTCCCAAAGTGCTGGGATTACAGGCGTGAGCCACTGTGGTGGCTCTGCCACCTTTTTCTCCCATCCTGGCCCTCAGCAGAATACCCACCTCCATTAGGAAGGCCAACCTGCCCGACTCAGCATTAGATTCAAATGCTGATCTTTCTAAAAACACCCTCACAGACACGCCCAGAAATAATGTTTAACCAGATATCCCAGCATCCTGTGGCCTGGTCTAGCTGATAAATCAAATTAACAATCACAATTCCCAATATGAACGCTACACCCTCTAACCAATAACTCTGTATTTGCCGCGGTCCTCCCAGCCCCTGGTAACCTCCATTCTAATTTCTTTTTTTTTTTTTTTTTTTCGGAGATGGAGTCTTGCTTCGTCACCCAGGCTGGAGTACAGTGGCCTAATCTCAGCTCACTGCAACCTCCGCCTCCTGGGTTCAAGCGATTCTCCTGCCTCTCCCTCCCGAGTAGCTGGGATCACTGGCGCTCACCACCATGCCTGGCTAAGTTTTTTTTTTTTTTTTTTTTAGTAGAGACAAGGTTTCACCATGTTGACCAGGCTGGTCTCGATCTCCTGACTTTGTGATCTGCCTGTCTCGGCCTCCCAAAGTGCTGGGATTACAGGCGTGAGCCACCGTGTCCAGCCCATTCTAATTTTTATCTCTATGAATTTGCTTATTCTAGGATGTATGAGTGGAATCATAACACTTGTTCTTTTTTGCCTGACTTAGTTTACTCAGCATAATATCCTCGAGCTACATCTATATTGTAGGATATGTCAGATTTCCTTTCCTTTTTATGGCTAAAATCCCACTGTAGGCCGAGCACAGTGTCTCACACCTGTAATCCCAGCACTTTGAGAGTCTGAGGCAGGCAGATCGCTTGAGCCCAGGAGTTCGAGACTAGCCTGGGCAACATGGTGAAACCCTGTCTCTACAAAAAATACAAAAATGAGGCTGGGCATGGTGGCTCACGCCTGTAATCCCAGCACTTTTTTTGCAATGACCTGACGTAAGGAGTTCGAGAACAGCCTGGCCAATAGGGTGAAACCCCATTTCTACTAAAAATATAAAAATTAGCCATGCGTGGTGGCGGGCGCCTGTAATCCCAGCTACTTGGGAGGCTGAGGCAAGAGAATCGCTTGAACCCAGGAGTCAGAGGTTGCAGTGAGCCGAGATCATGCCATTGCACTCCAGTCTGGGCAACAAGAGCGAAACTCCATCTCAAAATAAATAAATAAATATTAAAAACAACAACAACAACAAAAATGAGCTGGGCATGGTGGTGTGCAGCTGTAGTCCCAGCTACTCGGGAGGCAGAGGTGGGAGGATCACCTGAGCCCAGGGAGTTGATGCTGGAATGAACTAGGATCACATCATTGCACTCCAGCCTGGGCAGCAGAGCGAGACCCTGCCTCAAAAAAAAAAAAAAAAAAAAAAGAAAGAAAGAAAAGAAAAAGAAAAAAGCATTTTGGAGGCTAAGATGGGCGGATCACCTGAGGTGGGGAGTTCAAGACCAGCCTGACCAACATGGTGAAACCCTGTCTCTACTAAAAAATACAAAATTAGCTGGGCATGGTGGTGCATGCCTGTAATCCCAGCTACTTGGGAGGCTGAGGCAGGAGAATCACTTGAACCCACAAGGCGGAGGTTGCAGTGAGCTGTAATCCCAGCTACTTGGGAGGCTGAGGCAGGAGAATCACTTGAACCTGCAAGGCGGAGGTTGCAGTGAGCTGTAATCCCAGCTACTTGGGAGGCTGAGGCAGGAGAATCACTTGAACCCGCGAGGCGGAGGTTGCAGTGAGCCGAGATCGCGCCATTGCACTCCAGCCTGGGCAACAAGAATGAAACTATGTCTCAAAAAAAAAAAAAAAAAAAACGAAGAAAAAGAAGAAAAATCCCATTGAATATATAGAGCACACTGTGTTTATCCATTCTTCCATGGATGGACACTTACGTTGTTTGAACATTTTGGGTGTTCACAATTTCCTTTTGCAAAACTTGAAGTGTCAGTTTATGGATTGGCTCATGGATGTAATAGTAGCACAAACGCCTGGTAACTTCTCCTTTTTCCTGCTGAGACCTAAAACTGTTCACACAGGGGAAAAAGAGGAAATCTCTCAGAGACACAGGCCTAACTAACTTTCTTTGAGTTAGATCAATCTCATTATTATGATAATGTTCATAAACAGGCTTGATATTATGTTTTTTCTTTTCTTTCTCTTTTTTTTTTCTTTCCTGAAACTGAGTCTCGCGCTGTGGCCAGGCTGGAGTGCAGTGGTGCGATCTCAGCTCATTGCAAACTCTGCCTCCTGGGTTCAAGCGATTCTCTGCCTCAGCCTCCTGAGTAGCTGGGATCACAGGCGCCCATCACCACACCTGGCTAATTTTTGTATTTTTAGTATAGACGGGGTTTCACCATGTTGGCCAGGCTGGTCTTCAACTCCTGACCTCGTGATCCACCTGCCTCGGCCTCCCAAAGTGCTGGGATTACAGGCGGGAGCCACCGCGCCCGGCATGGTCAAGAGTTCTTAACCAGCCCAGCCCTGTCTCTATCAAAAAAAATTAAAAAGGAGGAAGAGCAAATGCAGCCATGTGTGAAACAGGGAGGAACGTATGCTTTCCCCTTTCTGGAATGACCATTTGGATGTTTTGAGGCTTGTTACAGGACACCAAACAATAAATTTTGTCCTGTTTGGAGTCATGAAGGGATTAAAAGAGATCATGAGCCTGGGCAACATAGGGAGACTCTGTCTCTGGGAAAGACTAAAAAATTAGCCGGGTGTGGTGGTGCACACCTGTGATCCCAGCTACTCGGGAGGCTGAGGTGGGAGGATCACTTGAGCCTGGGAGGCTACAGTGAGCCATGATGGAGCCACTGCACTCCAACCTGGGCAACAGAGAGAGACCCTGTCTCAAAACACAATAATAAAATGAAAAATTAAAAAATAAAAAGAAGCTGGGCACAAAGCTCATGCCTGTAATCCCGGCACTTTGGGAGGCCGAGGTGGGTGGATCACCTGAGGTCAGGAGTTCGAGACCAGCCTGGCCAATATGGTGAAACCCTGTCTCTACTAATAATACAAAACTCAGCCGGGCGTCCTGGCGCATGCCTGTGATCCCAGCTATTTGGGAGGCTGAGGCAGGAGAATCACTTGAACCCGGGAGGCGGAGGTTGCAGTGAGCCGAGATTGCGTCACTCTACTCCAGCCTGGGCGACAGAGCGCAACTCTGTCTCTGGAATGAATGAAAGAAAGAAAGAATGAATGAAAGAAAGAAAGAATGAATGAAAGAAAGAAAGAAAGAAAAAGAAAGAAAGAGCGAGACTCTGTCTCTGGAATGAATGAAAGAAAGAATGAATGAAAGAAAGAAAAAAGAAAGAAAGAAAGGAAAGAAAAAGAAAGAAAGAAAGAAATGGTAAGAATGAGTGCTGTTTTCAAACAGAAGATGAGAATGGAAGGATTTGTGGGAAAGGCCTGGAGCAGGGGGAGGTGACAGCCACACAGGATGGTCAAGGAGAATCGCTGGGAAAGGATGGAGGAGCTGGAAGTCGAGCAGAAGCCACAGTCCAGTGTGGGGAGAATGAGAACTCCTGAGCGTATGACCTCTAAGGGTCTGTTCTCAGCAGGAGACTCTGGGACGATCTCCAGGGGTCAGGGCAGGGGGTGACGTGGCTCCAGGTAGGGGCTTCTGGCTCACGGAGGATTGTCTTGCAGGACTGTGCGTGGGCCAAGGAGACACAAGGGGAGATGGTGAGTGTTTCTTCAACTACACCCTCCTTGGCCTGTCATCCCAAATCCCCTGCTGTTCTCTTCCCCTTCCCCCTCTTTTTCTCTTTTTTTTTTGACGGAGTCTCACTCTTTCGCCAGGCTGGAGTGCGGTGGTGCAATCTCGGCTTACAGCAACCTCCGCCTCCTGGGCTCAAGTGATTCTCCTGTCTCAGCCTCCCAAGTAGCTGGGACTACGGGTGCTTGCCACCACGCCCAGCTAATTTTTGTATTTTTAGTAGAGACGGAGTTTCACCATGTTGGCCAGGATGGTCTCGATCTCATGACCTCGTGATCTGCCTGCCTTGGCCTCCCAAGGTGCTGGGATTACAGGCGTGAGCCACCGCACCCAGCCCGCTTCCCTTCTTAAAATGGGATTCCTGATTGGGCTCAGGGGTTCACGCCTGTAATCCCAGCACTTTGGGAGGCCAAGGTGGGTGGATCACCTGAGGTCAGGAGTTCGAGACCAGCCTGGCCAACATGGTGAAACCTTGTCTCTACTAAAATACAAAATTAGCTGGGTGTGGTGGTGCGTGCCTGTAATCCCACCTACTTGGGAGGCTGAGGCAGGAGAATTGCTTTAACCCAGGAGACGGAGGTTGCAGTGAACTGAGATTGCACCACTGCACTCTAGCCTGGGCAACAGAGGGAGACTCCATCTCAAAATAATAATAATAATAATAAATTTTAAAAAGGGCTTCCTGAGAGCAGGGGAGGGCATCGGGTCCAGCATCAGGCTCTGCTTCCTTCCAGGGTCACTGCCCAAGCCGTCCCTCAGTGCCTGGCCCAGCTCGGTGGTCCCTGCCAACAGCAATGTGACGCTGCGATGTTGGACTCCTGCCAGAGGTGTGAGCTTTGTTCTCAGGAAGGGAGGAATTATTCTGGAGTCCCCGAAGCCCCTTGATTCTACAGAGGGCGCGGCCGAATTTCACCTCAATAATCTAAAAGTCAGAAATGCTGGAGAGTACACCTGTGAATACTACAGAAAAGCATCCCCCCACATCCTTTCACAGCGCAGTGACGTCCTTCTACTGTTGGTGACAGGTACAGACAGGGTGCCTGCCAATGACATACGGGGGACAGGGGATGAGGGAGGAAGTGGAGGAACAGAGGGAGAAAAGGGGTCCCACCTTCAGAGTAGTTGGGGGTGATGGGAGAGGGAGAGAGACAGGAACGAAATTGCATATGTTGGTTTTATACTTTGTCGCCCAGGCCAGAGTGCAGTGGTGCCATCTCGGCTCACTGCAACTTCCGCCTCCTGGGCTCAAGTGATTCTCCTGCTCCAGCCTCCTGAGCAGCTGGGATTACAGGTGCCTGCCACCATGCCCGGCTAATTTTTGTATTTTTAGTAGAGACAGGGTTTCGCCATGTTGGGCAGGCTGGTCTCGAACTCCTGACCTCAGGTGATCCACCCGCCTTGGCCTCCCAAAGTGCTGGGATTACAGGTGTGAGCCACCATGCCAGGCCTTACACAGGTCTTGTAGGAGGGAGAATCTCTGTCCTGGGGTCGGAGTAGGAAGTGGAGGAAGGTAGAAGAGATCAGGAATCTCTCATTTCCCACACTCCACGAGAGCCTCCGGCCAGGAGAACAGGGGTGAGTGGGGGATTCCAGACTTCTCCCCAGGACCTCAGAACCTGACTTCTCTTACAGGACATTTATCTAAACCTTTCCTCCGAACCTACCAAAGGGGTACAGTGACCGCAGGTGGAAGGGTGACTCTGCAGTGCCAGAAGCGAGACCAATTGTTTGTGCCTATCATGTTCGCTCTACTGAAGGCAGGGACGCCATCACCCATCCAGCTGCAGAGTCCAGCGGGGAAGGAGATAGACTTCTCTCTGGTGGACGTGACAGCCGGCGATGCTGGGAACTACAGCTGCATGTACTACCAGACAAAGTCTCCCTTCTGGGCCTCAGAACCCAGTGATCAGCTTGAGATATTGGTGACAGGTAAGGGCGTGTATGGTTTTGAGGAACTGTGTGTGTTGTTTTTAATCAGAGATTGTTTTGTTCTTCTGTGAATCTCATTTCTTCATTACTTACAATATCATCGCTCTTAACAAAATCTTCCCTTTCTGGCCTGGCGTGGTGGCTCATGCCTGTCATCCCAGCACTTTGGGAGGCCGAGGTGGATGGATCATCTGAGGTCAAGGATTTGAGACCAGCCTGGCCAACATAGTGAAACCCCGTCTCTACTAAAAATAAAAAATTAGCCAGGTATGATGGCATGCACCTGTAGACCCAGCTACTTGGGAGGCTGAGGCAGGAGAATTGCTTGAACATGGGAGGCGGAGGTTGCAGTGAGCCAAGATCTTGCCACTGCACTCCAGCCTGGGCAATAGAGTGAGACTCTGTCTCAAAAACAAAAAACAAAAAACAAAAACAAAAACAACAAAACAACAAAAAAACCTCCCTTTCACAATTTCCACTCCTTTGCCTTTTTTTTTTTTTTTTTTTTTTGAAATGGAGTCTCACTCTGTTGCCAGGATGGAGTGCAATGGCGCGATCTTCGCTCACTGCAACCTCCACCTTCCAGGTTCAAGTGATTCTCCTGCCTCAGCCTCCCAAGTAGCTAGGATTACAGGCCTGCACCACCCATCCGGCTAATTTTTCTATTTTTAGTAGCGATGAAGGTTTCACCGTGTTGACCAGGCTGGTCTTGAACTCCTGACCTCAGGTGATCTGCCTGCCTCGGCCTCCCAAAGTGCTGGGATTACAGGTGTGAGCCACCGTGCCCGGCCCTCCTTTGCCTTTTTGTTATACTACATCCTTGGAAAATTTCTAGGCTGTTTTTGAAAATTATGAATCTACCAGCACCAGATTCCTTCTACCAGTCTTTGCATCTCTTAGCGTTTTGGTTTTTTGTTTTGTTTTGTTTCATTTTGTTTTTGAGACAGAGTCTCGCTCTGTTGCCCAGGGTGGAGTGCAGTGGTGCGATCTCAGCTCACTGCAACCTCTGCCTCCCGAGTTTAAGCAATTCTCCTGCCTCAGCCACTTGAGTAGCTGGGATTACATGTGCCCACCACCACGCCTGGCTAATTTTTGTATTTTTAGTAGAGATGGGGTTCTGACCATGTTGACCAGGCTGGTCTTGAACCCCTGGCCTCAGGTGATCCACTCACCTCGGCCTCCCAAAGGGCTGGGATTGCAGGTGTGAACCACTGTGCATGGCGTGTTTTGGTTTTTCTTGGTGTTAGTGATTTCACTCTCAATAATTCTTTCTCAGTCATGTGCGGTGGCTCAGGCCTGTAATCCCAGCACTTTGGGAGGCTGAGGCTGGAGAATTGCTTGAGCCCAGGAGTTTGAGACCAGCCTGGGCAACATAGTGAGACCCAGTTTCAAATTAAAAAAAAAAATTATCTCATCCTCAGAACATGGTGTTTGCACAGCCTCCTGCTTCTATGCCGTGGATGCGAAGTCTACCCATGTCTTTTATTGACTGCTAGAATTCTTCTGAAAGTATCTTGTTTCCTGCCTTACTGGGTGCTAGCACTCTGCTTCCTCAGCTCTGTAAATTATTTTTCATCTATTGTAACTGCTGTAATGAGTTACATTACAGCTCTTGCCGGGTGCCTGGATGAAGCCCATTCATCAAGACAGAGGAATTGCAAAAAAGAGTTTAATACACATTGAGCCAGGTAAGTGGGAGACCAGAGTTTTTTTGTTTGTTTGTTTGTTTGAGACGGAGTCTTGCTCTGTCGCCCAGGCTGGAGTGCAGTGGCGCGATCTCGGCTCAATGAAACCTCTGCCTCCCAGGTTCAAACGATTCTTCTGCCTCAGCCTCCCGAGTAGCTGGGACTATATGTGTGCCACCCTGCCTGGCTAATTTTTGTATTTTTAGTAGAGATGGGGTTTTACCATATTGGCCAGGCTGGTCTCGAACTCCTGACCTCGTGATCTGCCCGCTTGGGCCTCCCAAAGTGCTGGGATTACAGGCATGAGCCACTGCACCTGGCCAATCAGAGTTTTATTATTACTCAAATCAGCCTCCCTGAAAATCTGGAGGCTAGGGTTTTGTTTGTTTGTTTGTTTTCTTTGAGATGGAGTCTCACTCTGTCGCCCAAGCTGGAGTGTAGTGGCACAATCTGAGCTCACTGCAGCCTCCACCCCCCAACCCCAGGCCCAGGTCAAGTAATTCTCCTGCCTCAGCCTCCTGAGTAGCTGGGATTACAGGCACCCGCCACCACACCCGGCTAATTTTTTTGTATTTTTAGTAGACATGGGGTTTCGCCATGTTGCCCAGGCTGCTCTCAAACTCCTGGCCTCAAGCAATCCTCCTACCTTAGCCTCCCACAGTGCTGGGATTACAGGCGTGAGCTACTGTGCCCGGCCTCAACTCAAACTTTCTCAGGTGCACTGCTGCACAGCAGTGTGGGCTGCGAGGATGCTGATCCAGCCACGGAATTCGGGGCTCTGTAGAGCTCCTTCCGTCTCATGTGCTGCCCCAAGACTATTCCTTAACATAAGGATGCGGGAGGAGAAAAGGCAATGTGGGAAGGTGGAAATGGGATAAAGAGCAAATAAACGAAGGAAGAGAGCTAAGGTGGAGTGAATATCAAGGAAGGAAGATAAAGGAACTCCCATTACAACTCATTAGGATTGCATATCTTGGCCGGGCGCGGTGGCTCAGGCCTGTAATCCCAGCACCTTGGGAGGCCGAGGCAGGCGAATCACTTGAGGCCAGGAGTTCGAAACCAGTTTGGCCAACATGGCGAAAACCCATCTCTATTAAAAATACAAAAATTAGCCGGGTGTGGTGGTAGGTGCCTGTAATCCTAGCTATTCGGGAGGCTGAGGCAGGAGAATCGCTTGAACCCAGGAGGTGGAGGTTGCAGTGAACCGAGACTGCGTCGCTGCACTCCAGCCTGAGCAACAGAGTGAGACGTCGTCTCAAAAACAACAACAAAGATTCCATCTTTTGTTTTCAGGGATTAAAACTTTAAAGAGCTCAATTATGGCCAGGCATGGTGGTTTATGCCTATAATCCCAACACTTTGGGAGGCCAAGGCGGGTGGATCACCTGAGGTCAGGAGTTCGAGACCAGCCTGACCAACATGGAGAAACCCCGTCTCTACTAAAAATACAAAATTAGCCGGGTGTGGTGGCACATGCTCATAATCTCAGCTGCTTGGGAGGCTGAGACAGGAGAATCACTTGAACCCGGGAGGCAGAGGTTGTAGTGAGCTGAGATTGTGCCATTACACTCCAGTCTGGGCAACAAGAGCAAAACTTGATCTCAAGAAAAAAAAAAAGTTCAATTAAAACTTTAAAGTACAGTGGACTACTGGCTAGAAAACATTAAGTGGGTGGCCGGGCGCGGTGGCTCACACCTGTAATCCCAGCACTTTGGGAGGCTGAGGTGGGCGGGTCACCTGAGGTCGGGAGTTCAAGACCAGCCTGGCCAACATGGCGAAACCCCGTCTCTACTAAAAATATAAAATTAGCCGGGCATGGTGGCACATGCCTGTAATCCCAGCTACTTGGGAGGCTGAGGCAGGGAGGCTTGAACCTGGGAGGCAGAGGTTGTGGTGAGCTGAGATTACACCACTGCACTCCAGCCTGGTCAACAAGAGTAAAACTCCGTCTCAAAAAAAAAAACCAAAAAACCGAAAACATTAAGTGGGTGATGATAGTCAGATTTGGTGGGGCCATTTGAGAAGGAGGGATACCCTCTGAGGGTCAGTGCTGAGCCCCTTCTCTCTTTCAGTTCCCCCAGGTACCACATCGAGCAACTACTCCCTGGGTAACTTCGTACGACTGGGTCTGGCTGCCGTAATTGTGGTTATCATGGGAGCTTTCCTGGTGGAGGCCTGGTACAGCCGGAATGTGTCTCCAGGTGAATCAGAGGCCTTCAAACCAGAGTGACTCCATCTTGAACCGGGGCTGGGTAAACTGAGGCTGCAACCTGCTGGACTGCATTCCCAGGGGGTTGAGGCTTTCTAAGTCACAGGATGAGACAGGTCACAACATACAGGTCACAAAGACCCAAAGACACAAAGATGCAACAAAGAAGCCAGCCAAAACCTGCCAAATCCAAGATGGCAACAAAAGTGACTTCTGGTCGTCCTCACTGCACATTATTTGCTAATTATAATGCATTTGCATGCTAAAAGACACTCCCACCGCCACCAAGACAGCTTACAGATGCCATGGCAACTTCCAGAAGCTAAACGAGGGAGGGACTCTCAGTTCCAGGGAAATCCCCTCCCCTTTCCTGGAAAACTCATGAACAGTCCACCCCTTGTTTAGCATACGATCAAGAAATAACCACAAAAATAGCCGACTGACAGCCCTCTGGACTGCTCTGCCTATGGAGCAGCCATATTCCTTGACTTTCTTAATAAACTTGCCTTCACTTTACTCTGTGTACTCACCCTGAGTTCTTACTTGTGTGAGATCCGAGAACCCTCTCTTGGGGTCTGGACTGGGACCCCTTTCCAGTAACAGATCCAAGTTAAAACACGGATCCCCTCTCTCTTTCATGGGCTGCTGTAGAGATATGGAATTCTCTTCTGCTCCAGATTTATTGAGATCTAATCGACAAATAAAAATGGAGTTATATTTGTGTACAACGTGATGTTTTGATATATTCCATTTTGATTTATCAATTATACCCCCATAAGCCTACGGGTGGGGAACCCTCCTACTAAGTAATTTATTGTGTACCAAGGAAGAAATTTCACTGATTGTGACATGAGTATCACAATGTAGCTAACGAACCTTTCTGTTTAAGATCCACCTTCTGGGAACCTCCCTACTAAATAATTAATTGTGTACCAAAGAAGAAATTTCACTAATTGTGACATGATTATCACAATGTAGCTAATGGACTTTTCTGTTTAAGATCCACCTTCTGGGAACTTTCCTACTAACTAAGTAATTAATTGTGTGCCGAGGAAGAAATTTCACTCATTGTGACAATGGTTATCTCAATCTAGCTTATGGACCTTTCTGTTTAAGATCCACCTTCTTAGCAAATTGTAATTACCCAGTGCAGCCTTGTGAACTGTAGCCGCCCTGCTGTGCATTCAATCCATATGGGGTTCTTTAAACATCAGACTCTACCATGGGGACTTCACACGTTTCTCCACATGGGCACAAATGGTATTTTTTGTTTTTTTGTTTGTTTGTTTGTTTTGAGACAGAGTCTCGCTTTGTCGCCCAGGCCAGAGTGCAGTGGTGCGATCTCGGCTCATTGCAACCTCCGCCTGCCAGGTTCAAGTGATTCTCCTGCCTCAGCCTCCCAAGTGGCTGCAACTACAGGCACCTGCCACCATCTGGCTAATTTTTTTGTATTTTTAGGAGAGACGGGGTTTCGCCACATTGGTCAGGCTGGTCTCGAACTCCTGGCCTCAAGTGATCCACCTGCCTCAGCCTCCCAAAGTGCTGGGATTACAGGTGTGCACCACCGGGCATGGCCACAAATGGTGTTTAAAGTGCAATAGTCCTTCACCATGTGAGACTGTCTTGTCCATTATAGGAACACGTAACTCGACATTGCTAATACTTCCTTTCCCATTGAACACCTGTTGGAGACCTAATTATTGTGAAACAACAACAACAAAAAAGCCACTACTCTCATACCTTTCAAATATCCCTGGATGGGGCGATGGGAAGTGAGGGTGGTGCTCCCCCTGGTTGAAAAGCTGTGTTTGGATGCCGGGAGAAAACAATCTTCCTCCTCTTCCTTCCCCTCTAAGCTCAGCTCTGTTCTTCTCTAGCCATAGATCCCACAGCTGCCCAGGGAATGATGGGTTGGACCAGCTGAGCCTTAACCGCTTTCTGTGGAACCTGCACTCTCAGCTCTGTTGGGATCTGCTGTAGGGCAGGATGGTGGCTTTCTTCTTCCTGTACTTTTCACTGGGGACAGAGGACAGAATTGGGCACAATGAGCCACGTAATACTTTTTTTTTTTTTCTTTGAGACGGAGTCTCGCTCTGTCACCCAGGCTGCAGTGCAATGGCAAGATCTCGGCTCACTGCAACCTCCACCTCCTGGGTTTAAGCGATTCTCCTGCCTTAGCCTCCCAAGTCGCTGGGATTACAGGCGCCTGCCACCATGCCCAGCTAATTTTTGTACTTTTAGTAGAGATGGGGTTTCACCCATGTTGGCCAGGCTGGTCTTGAACACCTGAGCTCAAGTGATCAGCCCACCTCGGCCTCCCAAAGTGCTGGGATTGCAGGCTTGAGTCACCGTGCCCAGCCCTTAATACATTTTTGATAACTTGAATCAATACTTAAAACTTCAGAGTCAGATTGAGTAGTAGGTGACTCTCACCTGCGGGGAACTCTTCCTCCACACGAAGGGAAAAACATTGCTTCCTGTGTAATATTTATTAATACTTCCTCTCCGTTCTTTCTATTTTGTGCTTCTGGACCAGCATTTAGTCCAATATTGGGATATACATATTTATTTATTTATTATATTTATTTATTTTGAGACAGGGTCTCACTCTGTCGCCCAGGCTGGAGTGTAGTGGCTAGATCACGGCTCACTGCAGCCTCGACCTCCCAGGCTAAAGTAATCCTCCCATCTCAGCCTTCTGAGTAGCTGGGACCACAGGTGTGTGCCATCATGCCGGACTAAATTTTGTATTTTTTGTAGAAGCCGGGTTCCACCATATGGCCCAACTTGGTCTCGAACTCTTGGACTCAAGTGATCCTCTCATCTTGGCCTCCCAAAGTGCCAGGACTACAGGCGTTAGCCACTGTGCTTGGTCATATGTATTTATAATACATTCTTTCTTTCTTTTTTTTTGGAGAGGGAGTCTCACTCTGTCACCCAGGCTGGAGTGCAGTGGCGTAATTTCAGCTCACTGCAACCTCCCTCTCAGGTTCAAGTGACTCTCCTGCCTCAGCCTCTCAAGTAGCTGGGATTACAGGCGCCCACCACCATGCCTGGCTAATTTTTGTGTGTTAGTAGAGACGGGGTTTCACCATGTTGGCGAGGCTGGTCTCGAACTCCTGACCTCAAGTGATCTGCCCACCTTGGCTTCCCAAAGTGCTGGGATTACAGGCATGAGCCACCACGCCCAGCCTGTATTTATAATACATTTCTTTTACATTTTATTTTATATGTTTCCAACATTTTACCCAGTTTGGCAGGAATTCCATTCTATCCATGGCATCCATTTGCTTGTAATTGGTAGCCAGTCTTACTGGTGCAGATGTAAAATGTCAACAGTTGCCAGGTGCTGTGGCTCATGCCTATAATCCCAGCACTCTGGGAGGCCGAGGTGGGCGGATCACAAGGTCAAGAGATCGAGACCATCCTGGCCAATATGGTGAAACCCCATCTCTACTAAAAATACAAAAATTAGCTGGGCGTGGTGGTGCATGCCTGTAATCCCAGCTACTCAGGAGGCTGAGGCAGGAGAATTGCTGGAACCCGGGAGGCAGAGGTTGCAGTGAGCCGAGATCTCACCACTGCACTGCAGCCTGGGCGACAGAGCGAGACTCCGTCTCAAAAAAAAAAAAAAAAAAAAAGTCAACATTTATGTTTTGTTGTTACATTTTGTTTTCAAGATTTGTTGCTGTTTCTTGTTAATAGTCTTATTATTTTTCGTAAATATCATTCTTATTTTATAACTATTGTCTCCTCTGTTATAACTCTGAGGATGTGCTTATCAAAGCAATATTCCTCCTCTTCCTCCACTAACCACAGGTTGGTCCTTCTCTATCCACAGACCACACAGCTGCCAAGGGTAGCATGCGCTAGAGCTGCCGATCCTTAGAGTTTCCTGTGCAGCCAGCATTTCCAGCTGTTTGAGAGCCGCACCAGGACAGGACGATGGCTTTCTTCCCATCCTCCTCACTTAGGACAGGACGGGGTGGGCACAGGGACCCATCCAGCAAGTTATTATTTTTGTAGTTATTAAGATAGAAAGTATAGGCCGGGCATGGTGGCTCACACCTGTAATCCCGCCTCAGCCTCCCAAAGTGCTGGGATTACAGCGGTAAGTCATCATGCCCAGACGATTATTTTTTATTTGTATACGTTTATGGGGTACAAGTGTAACTTTATTGCATGGATAGATTCCAAAATGATGAAGTTAGGGCTTTCAGGTATCCACTAACCCAGTGACACACATTGTATCCATTAGATAATTCTTTTTTTTTGATGGAGTCTTGCTCTGTGACCCAGGCTGGAGTGCAGTGGCGTGATCTCAGCTCACTGCAACCTCCGCCTCCCGGGTTCAAGCGATTCTCCTGCCTCAGCCTCCTGAGTAGCTGGGACTATGGGCGTGTGCCACCACGCCCGGCTAATGTATCCATCATCATAACACACAACCATTTGAATGAATCTCACAGGCATTGTGCTGAGTGAAAAAGGTCACCCTCAGAAGGTGAGGCGATGGACGATTCCATTTATACAAGAGTCTCAAAGTGACAAAGTGATAGAGACGTAGAACAGATTAGCAGGTGCTAGGGTGGGAGAGCGATTATAAAGGGGCAGCATGAGGGAGTTCCTACGTGGTGGTGGGACAGTTCTGTGTCTTGATTGTGGCGGTGGTTCTATAAAGCCATACATACAGGCAATAAAATGTTACAGAACTATACCCATAGGCAAAGAAAAGGGAGGAGGAAAAGAAGGTGGAAGAGGAGGAAGAGCAGGAGAAAAGAAGGAAAAGGAGAAAAGGAAATAGAAATAGAAGGAAGAGGAAGAGAAAAAGAGAAACGAATTATGCACAAACTGGTGAGATCTGAGTGACCTCTGGAACCTGGTTAAACGTGTGATGCCAGTGCAAAGTCTCTGGTTTTGAAAATGTGCCATACGCCGGGCGTGGTGGCTCACGCCTGTAATCCCAGCAGTTTGGGAGGCCGAGGCAGGCGGATCGCCTGAGGTCAGAAGTTCGAGACCAGCCTGGGCAACATGGCAAAACCTCGTTTCTACTAAAAAGAACAAAAAAAATTAGCCAAGAGTGGTGGCGGACACCTGTCATCCCGGCAACTCGGGAGGCTGAGGCAGGAGAATCGCTTGAACCCGGGAGGCAGAGGTTGCAGTGAGCCAAGATTGTGCCACTGCACTCCAGCCTGGCTGACAGAGATTCTGTCTCAAAAAAAAAAAAAAAAAAAAAAAGTACTGTAATTATAAGAGATTACCATTGGCCGGGCACAGTGGCTTATGCCTGTAATCCCAGCACTTTGGGAGGCTGAGGTGGGCGGGTCACTAGAGACCAGGAGTTCAAGACCAGCCTGGCCCACATGGTGAAATCCCATCTCTACAAAAAATTAGCTGGGTGTGGTGGTGCATGCTTGTAATCCCAGCTACTTGGGAGTCTGAGGCAGGAGAATCCTTAAACCCATGAGGCAGAGGTTGCAGTGAGCCGAGATCGCGCCACTGCACTCCAGCCTGGGTGACAGAGCAAGACTCTGTCCCCCCCGCCCCCCAAAAAAAGGTTAACATTGTGGGGAGCTGGCTAGTGGGTACACGGAAGCTATAAAGCTATAGGTATTAATGTTTGTTTGTTTGCTTGTTTGAGACAGTTTCACCGTTGTTGTCCAGGCTGGAGTGCAGTGGCACAATCTTGGCTCACAGCAACCTCCGCCTCCTGGGTTCAAGCCATTCTCCTGTCTCAGCCTCCGGAGTAGCTGGGATTACAGGCATGCGCCACCATGCCTGGCTAATTTTGTATTTTTAGTAGAGACGGGGGTTTCTCCATTTTGGTCAGGCTGGTCTTGAACTCCCGACCTCAGGTGATCCGCCCGCCTCAGCCTCTCAAGGTGCTGGGATTACAGGCGTGAGCCACCGCGTCCGGCCGGTATTAGTGTTTTAAAATAAAAAATTACATTTACAGAAAACTCTTGGCAGAACTTCAGATAAGGTAGGACAGAGCTCGGGCGGGTGGGGCCACACACACCGGATTCATGGGGAAGAAGTTATCATCGACGGCTTCTTGTTTCCTGAGTCGGTTGTGAGAAGGAAACTGCAAGAGTGGGGCAGAGAACCAGAGTGTCAGAGCAAAACCTCCTCTATCTGCACATCCTGGGGACGAACCGGGCAGCCGGAGAGCTGCGGCCGGCCCAGTCCCGCTCCGCCTTTGAAGGGTAAAACCCAAGGCGGGGCCTTGGTTCTGGCAGAAGGGACGCTATGACCGCAGAATTCCTCTCCCTGCTTTGCCTCGGTGAGTCTCCAGGACTGGGACGAATGGGCTTGGGCTGGTGAGAAAAACTCATGTGGGAGTGGCAGTCCAGGTGGAAATGCGGTGTGTGGAAGTAATGACTTCCAGGTGTTGCACACCTGCGGTGGGTGGGTCTGGGCTGTGGGTTCTGTGAGTTCTGCCGCCCACATGCAAGCGAGGAGGAGGCCGCGCTGCAGAGACACGGGGACAGACTCCGCTGGGAAAGGCAGAGCTGCTGTGGGGTCTCCGAGTCTGCAGCCGCTAAATACCGCAGTACTGCCATCATCCTCCGTCGGAATAGAGGAGGGCTGGGCTTAGGGATCTACAGGGTGCAAGGCTGTGGGCAAAAAGACAATTTTCTTCTCTCTCTCTCTTATTTATTTATTTATGTATGTATGCATTTATTTATGAGACAGAGTCTCACTCTGTAGCCCAGGCTGGAGTGCAATGGCGTGATCTGGGCTCACTGCAACCTCCGTCTCCCAGGTTCAAGCGATTCTCCTGCCTCAGCCTCCCGAGTAGGTGGGACTACAGGTGCAGGCCACCACACCCGGCTGACTTTTGTATTTTAAGTAGAGACGGGGTTTCACCATGTTGGTCAGGCTGGTCTCGAGCCCCTGACCTCAGGTGATCCGCCCGCCTCAGCCTCCCAAAGTGCTGGGATTACAGGCGTGAGCCACCACACCTGGCCCCAAGAAGACAATTTTCTGACCAGCTCGATTCTTAGGCTGATTTTAACCATCCTCCAATTGAACCTGATGTATTCAGACAGAGCTCACACTGTGAAACGGATGACCTGGGTTATAATCTCGGCTTTACTACATAGAAACTCTAGGCTTGACCCAGCAGAGCTCCACCTCCCTAAGGCCCCAGTTCCTCCCTGGTGCACGGGGGGTGCGGTGGACATCGACGTGCTTCGTCTGCTTCAGTTCCTTCCTCCTTTTCTGGGTGCAGCCCTTCCTTGTGGGGTAATGCTCGTCTCCTACACACATTTGCACCTTAGATGAGCATTTTTTTTTTTTTTTGACAGAGTCTTGCTTTGTCTCCCAGGCTGGAGTGCAGTGGTGTGATCTCAGCTCACTGCAACCTCCACCTCCTGGGTTCAAGCGATTCTCCTGCCTCCGCCTCCCGAGAAGCTGGGATTATAGGCACACGCCACCACGCCTGGCTAATTTTTTGTGTTTTTAGTAGAGATGGGGTTTCACCATGTTGGCCAGGCTGGTCTCAAACTCCTGAACTCAGGTGATCTACCCACTTCAACCTCCTAAAGTGCTGGGATTACAGGTGTGAGCCACTGCACCCGGCTATTTGTGCCTTAGAGATGACTATCGGGTTCATACCCAAGCCTCCAGCTGCTGAGCACAGTAAGCTGGGCAACCAGGAGACTGACCTCATCCCCCAATGGCTGCCATACCAAAGTACTACAAGCCTGGTGGCTTAAAGGAATTAGAATTGCTTTAAGTTGGGGAGATGAGAAGTCTGAAACCAAGGTGTTTGCAATGTTGATTCCTTCTGAGAACTATGAAGGAGCGTCTGTTTTATGCCCCTCTTCTAGTGATGGCTGACAATTCTTGGCATTTTTTTTTTTTCTTGAGGCGGAGTCTTGCTCTGTCACCCAGGCTAGAGTGCAGTGGCATGATCTTTCTCACTGCAACCTCCACCTCCTGGGTTCAATCAATTCTCCTGCCTTAGCCTCCCAAGTAGCTGGGATTACAAGCATGGACCACCATGCCTGGCTAATTTTTGTATTTTTAGTAGAGACAGGGTTTCACCACGTTGGCCAGGCTGGCCTCGAACTCCTGACCTCAGGTGATCTGCCCGCCTCAGCCTCCCAAACTGTTGAGATTACAGGCGTGAGCCAGCGCTCCCGGCATTCTTTAACTTGTAGATGCATCACTCCAATCGTTGGCTCTGTTTTTTTTTTTCTTTTCTTTAGACAGGGTCTCACTCAGTTGCCCAGGCCGGAGTGCAGTGGTACCACCATAGCTCACTGCAGCCTCAACCTCCTGAGCTCAAGCAGTCCTCCCCGCAGCCTTCTGAGCAGCTAGGACTACAGGTGCACACCACCATGTTGGACTAATTAAAATAATTTCTGTTTTAGAGATGGGATCTTGCTATATTGCCCAGGCTAGTCTCCAACTCCTGGGCTCAAGCAATTCTCCTATCTTGGCATCCCAAAGCACTATGATTGCAGCCTGGCCTCTCTGCCTCTGTCTTCGCATGGCCGTCTTCCTTCTGTGTGTCTCTGTCTCTCTTTTTCTCTTCTTGTAAGTTATATTGGATTAGATACCCAGCCTACTCTAGTATGACCTCATCTTAGTTTAATTAATTACATCTGCAAAGATCAGACAATGCTATTTTCAAATAAGGTCACATTCGCAGGTCCTGGGAGTTACAACTTGAACTTCTCTTTTCAAGAAACACAAATCAGCCAGGTGTGGTGGCTCACGCCTGTAATCTCAGGACTTTGGGAGGCCCAGGCGGGCAGATCTCTTGAGGTCAGGAGTTTGAGACCAGACTGGCCAACATGGTGAAACCCCGTCTCTACTAAAAATACAAAAATTAGCTGGGCATGGTGGCAAGGACCTGTAATCCCAGCTACTCGGGAGGCTGAGGCAGGAAAATCGCTTGAACCTGGGAGGCAGAGGTTGCAGTGAGCTAAGATAGCACCGCTGCCCTCCAGCCTGGGTGACAGAGGGAGACTCCATGTCAAAAAAAAAAAAAAAAAAAGAAAAGAAAAAGAATATGGGAATTGGGCTGGGTGCAGGTAGCTCACACCTGTAATCCCAGCATGTTGGGAGGCCAAGGTGGGAGAATCACTTGAACTCAGGTGTTCGAGACCAGCCTGGGCAACATCGTGAGTCCTCATCTCTACAAAAAAATTTTAAAATCAGCCAGCGTGGTGGTGCATGCCTGTAGTCCCAGTTATTTGGGAGGCTGAGATGGATGGATCACTTGAGCCCAGGAGGTTGAGGCTGCAGTGAGCTGTGACTGCACCCTGGCACTCCAGCCTGGGCCACAGAGTGAGACCCTGTCTCAAAAAGAAAAAAGAATATAGGAATCACTGTTTGAACAGACGATGGGTGGATAGCAGAGATGAGATGACATGAATCTAAAAGCGGGATTTGGGGAGGGTCTCAAAACAGAGCCTGAGTCCTGGGATGCCCTGCCCACCCAGAGGCTGTTTCCTACCTGCCAATCCCAGCTAATCTCGCTGCCAACGCAGCTTCGGTCCATCGTGAGGCCTCCACCTCATTCCTCTGTGGTGAAGCTTGGTGGGGGGTCACGTTCTGTATCGGCACCTGTGTCAACAAGGAACCAATGTCCTGAGACACTGTCGTGGCTCTAGAGAATTTCTACCTAAATTCTACGTAACTTCACCCTGAAACAAGCCCCATGACTGACATCCCATTTTCCACCCAAGTTTAAGACGCTACCTTCCCAGCGGGGAATGTAGAGAACAGAACACAGAAGAGGGAGGGGATAATGTAAGTGGAAACCAAAGCTAAAGTGAGGAGAGTATTTGGGACCAGAAGACACGGGGAAGGGGGAGCAGATTCTCTCTATTGGAATTGAGCAAGAAAACCCTCCTCTCGGCCGGGCGCGGTGGCTGATGCCTGTAATCCCAGCACTTTGGGAGTCCGAGGCGGGTGGATCACGAGGTCAGGAGATCAAGACCATCCTGGCTAACACAGTGAAACCCCGTCTCTACTAAAAATACAAAAAAATTAATTAGCTGGGCTTGGTGGCGGGTGCCTGTAGTCCCAGCTACTCGGGAGGCCGAGGCAGGAGAATGGCGTGAACCCGGGAGGCAGAGCTTGCGGTGAGCCGAGATCGCGCCACTGCACTCCAGCCTGGGTGACAGAGCGAGACTCCATCTCGAAAAATAAAAAAAAAAAAAAAACCCACCACTCTCACTCCACGATAAAATAACCTTTGCATTATTTAAGTGGCAAGGGTAAAACTGCAATCAGGCCGGGCACGGTGGCTCATGCCTGTAATCCCAGCGCTTTGGGAGGCTGAGGCGGGTGGATCACTTGAGCTCAGGAGTTTGAGACCAGCCTGGGCAACATGGTGAAACCCCATCTCTACAACAACAACAACAAAAATTAGCTGGGCACGATGGCACACACCTGTAGTCCCAGCTACTCTGGAGCCTGAGGTACGAGTATCACTTGAACCCAGGGGGTGGAGGAGGTTGCAGTGAGCTGAGACTGCACCACTGCACTCCAGCCTGGGTGACACAGCGAGACTCTGTCTCAAAACAAAACAAAACACTGCAATCACAGAAAATACCAGAAAAAAGCATAGGTGAATGTTGAACAATTTCTAGATGGTGAAAGGATTACTCATGAAAGCAATTCAATACATCAGAAAAGGTTGCTGGGCCGGGGGCAGTGGCTCACGCCTGTAATCCCAGCACTTTGGGAGGCCGAGGCGTGTGGATCACCTGAGGTCAGGAGTTCAAGACCAGCCTGGCCAACATGGTGAGACCCTGTCTCTACTAAAAATGCAAAAATTAGCCAGGTGTGGTGGCGGGTGCCTGTAGTCCCAGCTACTCGGGAGGCTGAGGCAGGAAAATTGCTTGAACCTGGGAGGCGGAGGTTGCAGTGAACTGAGATCATGTCATTGCACTCCAGCCTGTGCAACAGAGCAAGACTACATTTCAAAAAAAAAAAAAAAAAAAGAAAGAAGAAGTTGCTGGAATTTTCTCCATACACGTAGCTTCTGAATGACAAACAATGGAACAAAAGTAAGAGGTAAGTCTGGGGAGATATCTGCCAAAAATATATACATATATGTAATACATATATTTAATATATATATTATATTTATATATGTATTATATGTAATATGTGTACATATACTTAATACATTTATTATATATAATACATATATACATTATATATATATATATATCTCAGACCTATAAAGAGCTAGTCATACGTTCTCTGCTGGATTTGTACTCAAGGACAAGCACATAATTTTTCTCTCATTGAGATTTCTCTTCCAGGGCTGTGTCTGGGCTACGAAGATGAGAAAAAGAATGGTGAGTTTTCTCCTACTTAAACTTTTATTCCTGCATCCCACGCTTCATGACCTTTTCCTTTAATCGTCTGAATTCTAGACTCAAATTAACTCTGAATTGTTTCCAGAGAAACCGCCCAAGCCCTCCCTCCACGCCTGGCCCAGCTCGGTGGTTGAAGCCGAGAGCAATGTGACCCTGAAGTGTCAGGCTCATTCCCAGAATGTGACATTTGTGCTGCGCAAGGTGAACGACTCTGGGTACAAGCAGGAACAGAGCTCGGCAGAAAACGAAGCTGAATTCCCCTTCACGGACCTGAAGCCTAAGGATGCTGGGAGGTACTTTTGTGCCTACAAGACAACAGCCTCCCATGAGTGGTCAGAAAGCAGTGAACACTTGCAGCTGGTGGTCACAGGTGAGAAGGGCAGATGTACTCTTTGATGCACACATTTCTTTGGTTTGGCTTTGCTTTTTTTTTTTTAAGACAGAGTCTTGCTGTGTCTCCCAGGCTGGAGTGCAGTGGCACGATCTCGGCTCACTGCAACTTCTGCCTCCTGGGTTCAAGCAATTCTCCCTCCTCAGCCTCCCGAGTAGCTGGGACTACAGGCGCCCGCCACCACGCCCAGCTAATTGTTTGTGTTTTTAGTAGAGATGGGGTTTCGCCATGTTAGCCAGGATGGTCTCCATCTCCTGACCTTGTGATCCACCTGCCTCCGCCTCCCAAAGTGCTGGGATTACAGGCATGAGCCACCGCGCCCGGCCTAATTTTTGTATTTTTAATAAAGATGAGGTTGTACCATATTGGTGAGGTTGATCTCAAACTCCTGACCTCAAGTGATCCATCTGCCTCGGCCTCCCAAAGGGCTGGGATTATAAACGTGAACCTCCACACCCAGCCTTTTTTTTTTTTTTGAGAGGGAGTCTTGCTCTGTTGCCCAGGCTGGAGTACAGTGGCATGATCTCAGCTCACTGCAACCCCCGCCTCCTGGGTTCATGCAATTCACCTGCCTCAGCCTCCCGAGTAGCTGGAACTACAGGGGTGCGCCACCACACCTGGCTAATTTTTGTATTTTAGTAGAGACAGGGTTTTACCATGTTGGCCAGGCTGATCTCGAACTGCTGACCTCAAGTGATCTGCCCACCTCAGCCTCCCAAAGTGCTGAGATTACAGGAGTGAGCCACTGCGCTCGGCTGCTTTTTTTTTTTTTGACAGAATCTCGCTCTGTCACCCAGGCAGGAGTGCAGTGGCATGAACACAATTCACTGCAGCCTCGACCTCCCAGGCTCAAGCGATTTTCCCACATCAGCCTCCCAAGTAGCTGGGAGTACAGGCAAGCACCACCATGCCTGGCTAATTTTTAAATTACTTGTTGAGACAGGATCTATGTTGCCCAGGCTGGTCTTGAACTCCTGAGCTCAGGTGATCCTCCTGCCTTGGCCTCCCAAAGTGCTGGGATTACAGGCGTGAGTCACCAAAGCCTGCCTGATGCACGTATTTCTTTTCCTGTCGTGGGACATGGCTGGGGAAGAAGGAATCTAGGAGACAAAAAGATAGATGCAGGCCAGGCACGGCGCGGTGGCTCATGCCTGTAATCCCAGCACTTTGGGAGGCAGAGGTGGGCAGATCACTTGAGGTCGGGAGTTCGAGACCAGCCTGGCCAACATGGTGAAACCTCACCTCTACTTAAAATACAAAAATTAGCTGGGCGTGGTGGCAGGCGCCTGTAATCCCAGCTACTAGGGAGGCTGAGGCAGGAAGAGAATCTCTTGAGCCCAGAAGGCAGAGGTTGTAATGAGCTGAGATTGTGCCACTGCACTGCAGCCTGGATGAAAGAGCAAGACTCCGTCTAAAAAAAAAAAAGAAGAAGAAGGATAGATGCAACACCTTCAATGTGGAAATGGGAACCGAATGTGGAGCAAGATTCTCATCAGAGATTCTGAGAGGGTCCCAATGATGTGGATGTGGGAGGGTGGTGTAGAATATGGTCAGTTAATAGAAAATTGGGGTATGGTAAGACTGACAGACCAAGTGATGATTGCCATGGAAAAGATGGTCTGTTACAGTTCCCAAGAGGAGGAGGAAGGCTATACTGGGGGGAGTATGTGGGGAAGCACCAGGGTCAATGAGGGGCAGAGGGAGGAGGAAGAACTGTGGACCAGAGCTTTGATTGTATTTTGTGGGGAGAACAAGATTAGAGTTGGCCAGGTGTGGTGGTTCATGCCTGTAATCCTAGCACTTTGGGAGGCCTAGGAGGGTGGATCACCTGAGGTCAGGAGTTTGACATCAGCCTGGGTAACATGGCGAAACTCCATCTCTACAAAAATACAATAATTACCTGGGTGTGGTGGTGTGCACCTGTGCTTTCAGCTACTCGGGAGGCTGAGGCACGAGAATTGCTTGAACCCCAGAGGCAGAGGCTGCGGTGAGCCAAGATCGTGCCACTGCACTCAAGCCTGGGTGATAGAATGAGAACCTGTCTCAAAAAAAAAAAAAAAAAAAAAAAAAGAAAAGAAAAGAAAAGAAAGAAAGAAAAGAAAAACAAAAAAAGAATTGGCTTTGGGGTGTAGAGGCTGTCCCTGGTTGTCTAGTTCTTGGACCTGGGGTGATTAGGAGAGGACAACATTGACCTTGAGTGTGAGAGCCCCATAATTAAGGTGGTTGAGAGTATGGGCTCTGGATCTATTGGCTTGCATTTGAGGGACATCCTTGAGGACAAGTTGTTTACTGGCTCTAGAAATTAACTAACCCTGCGAGGGGAGGTCCCACCAAGGGCAGCAAGGCCCCAAGATGTTAAAGCATCAAATGCAGAAGATGAAAGACATGGTTAATACGGAGAGATGGATGAGATAGTCCCCAAGTGCAGTAGAAAATGGAAAAGCCCTGGCCCTTCTCTTTACCTCCATTGCCTTGTCCTCTTCAGGATCACTCCCAGAACCTTTGCTCTCAGTCAATGTAGACCCTGGGATGACTCCAGGTCTCAGGACACTTCGATGTCTCACTCCATACAATGGAACCGAATGTATTGTAATTGCTCTGTTGAAAATGGGGATCCCAGAACCATTACAAGTCAGGCAAGTAAGAAAAAACCAGACTGATTTCATGCTCTGGAACGTGACAAGTAATGACAGTGGAAACTACAGCTGTGTGTATTACCTGAGCAACTCATCACACTTGGCCTCCTTCCCCAGCAACAAGCTGGAGATCTGGGTGACAGGTGAGGATAGAGTGATAACACTGGCATTTGACATGTATCCAGCATTTTCTATGTTCCTGTCTCCACGACAGGTAACTTGCCTCCACTAACTCATTCAGTCTTCACTTCCTATGAGGGTGGTTGTGTTACTAACTTCTTTTTGCTCATAGAGATTAGGTGACCTCCCCGGTGTCACAAAAACAATGAGCTTCACAGTTGCTATTCAGACATAAATGAAAATTTATATTTCATTATGCCAGAGAAGGAAAGCCAGAAAGAGTGTCCAGTGCTCTATGAGGGATGTAGGAATGGCAAATAATGGATTGTGGGGCTAAGAGATCCCATTGTGTGGAAAAGTATGGGAGGCACGGTGCAGGTAACTGAAAAAAAAATGATGAGGACCACAGTGAGAAGATGCACGTGGGAGGATTGTAACATACATGACTTGAGATCCCAAGGAAGAGGGATAAAGAATAATTTTGCATCACTTTCATCTACCCATTTATCTACTCACCCATCCATCTATCAATCTACCCACCCATCTATCAACCCACCCACCCATCTACCCACCTACCAACCCATCCACCCTCCTACCCACTCATTCACCCATCCATCCACTCACTTATCCATCTATCCATCAACTCATCCATCCATCCATCCATCCATCCATCCATCCATTCATCTATCCATTAATCCATCCAACCACCAACCCTTCCATTCATCTGTCCACCCACCCCTTCATCCATCTATCTACCTACCTACCCATCTATTTACCCAGCCACTCATTTGTCCATCCTTCCACCCATTCATCCACTCATCCACCCTTTCACCCATTCACTCACCCCCACCCACCTATCCATCTATCCATCCATCCATCCATCCATCCATCCATTCATCCATTCATTTATTAGTCACTAAACAATACCTCTCAACTGACCACAGTTGCTTCCAGTAGGTCAGTCCTGCCATATCATGGGAAATCCCTGGAGAGACTTTACAGTCATCAGTGTAGTGTAGAAGTAGCCGTGGGTCCACACCAATGACTTAGCCTGGGCTTGGGGCATGATGAGTAACTGAATACTTAATGTTTCACCTCTGATTTACCCTCTTTCTGAGGCTCTTGATCAATGATACTCCAACAAGGTGCTCATCACTTTGATATTGATTTCAAATTGTATTCCCCATAACTCGTTCTTGTAGTCTTAAGAATTTCTGCACCCACACTTTAGCCCTAAAAGCCTCGCGATTATTTGCCATTTCCCAATTATGTTCTCTGGCATATCATCTACTGTTTCCTGATTTCTTCACCTCTATCGCAGCTGTACCATTACATCACAAGACAGGCTATAGTATCAATTTCCAGTGGTTGATTTTCCAGGTCAGCCTTCCATATACAATCTGTTTGCTGCTTTGCAAATCACTTTATTATACTACTTTTTACTTTTTTATTATACTACTTTTTACTTATTACAAAATGGGCATATAAATGCTTCCATTACAAAAAAAAATTAATGCAAAATACCTGGCACAAAAATAGCTGCCCATTCACCCTACAAATTCAGATACTTTGGTAGATCCTGAGCATATTGTAGGAACTGAGACAGACCAGGTCTCTGGCCAACAGGAGCTCACATTCTTCTTTGGAAGAAAGAAAGAAATAAGAGCAAGCTATCAGAGTAATTAAAAAACACATTATAGATGGAGAATAACTGTGAGAGGCATTGTATTAGTGATCTACAGCTGCATAACAAATTACCACTAATTTAGCAGCCTGAAACACCTATTTATTATCTCACAGTTGATGTGGGTCAGGAGTCCAGGCACAGCTTAGCTGAGTCCTCTGCTTTGGGTCTCATAAGGATGCAATCAAGGTGTCAACAAGGGCTGTGTTCTCATCTGGCTCATCTGGAGGCTTGACTGGGGAAGGGTCCATTTCTCCACTCCTGTGGTTGATAGCAATATCTGGTTCTTTATAGCTGTAGGATTCATGCTAGAATGATTCTGCAGCACTTGCAAGAAGAGAGATTGAGAGAGAGAGAAGAAAGAGAGAGCAAATGCCCTAGCAAACAGAGTTTTATGTAATGTAACATAATCAAGAGCATAACATCCCATCACCTTTGCCATAGCTATTGGTGAGAAGAAAGTCACAGATCTCCACACTCAAGGTGAGGGGATTAGACAAAGGCATGAACACCAGGAAGCAGGGCTCCTGAGTCTCCTGAGTGCCCCCTTAGGGTCTATCTGCCACAAGCATGAAGGATGAGAATGACCCAACCACACCGATATCTGGAGAACAGCCCTCCAGGGAGAGAGAGCAGCAAAAGCAAAGTCTCAGAAGTGTGAGTGTTCCTGGAATGATTGAGACACAGAAAGGAGGACATAAGGCAGGGCCTAGAGCATCTAGGATCTTGTGGGTGTTTGAACTGGTCCTAGAGTCTGCTTTGAAAGAACAGGAACCCACTGATGAAGTTGAGCTGGAGGATGGCATGATTTTATTTATATGCTGGAAGGGTCACTGGCTGCTTTTTTTTTTTTTTTTTTTTTTGAGACAGGGTCCCACTCGGTTGCCCAGGCTGGAGTGCAGTGGTGCAATCACAGCTCACTGCAGCCTTGACCTCCCAGGCCCAGGTAATCCTCCCACCTCAGCCTCCCAAGCATCTGAGATTACAGGCACAGGCCATCATGCCCGGCCTCTGGCTGCTTTTGGAAAATAAGGGACTAGATGTAGTAAGAGTTGGTGCGTTTCAGGCAATACGACTTTTTAAATTTAAAAATATCAAATTGACAAATGAAGATTGTATATATTCAAGGTATACAATCTGATGATTTGATCCACCTGTACATTGTGTAATGATTATCACAGTCAAATTAATTAGCACATCCATTGCCACCATGCTGAGCACCTGAACTTCTTCATCTTAGAACTGGAAACTTATACCCTTTCATCAACATCTCCGCATATATCATGCTAAACAAAATAAGCCAGACTCAGAAAGACAAATTCTGCAGGATCTCACTCATATGTGTAGTCTAAAAAAGCCAAACTCACAGAAGCAACTGGTGGTTGCCAGGGACTGGTGAGTAGGTGATATTTCATTTCATTTTTATTTTTATTTTTATTTTTTTTTTGAGACGGAGTCTGGCTCTGTCCCTCAGGCTGGAGTGCAGTGGCGCGATCTCGGCTCACTGCAAGCTCCGCCTCCCGGGTTCACGCCATTCTCCTGCCTCAGCCTCCCGAGTAGCTGGGACTACAGGGGCCCGCCACCACGCTCGGCTAACTTTTTGTATTTTTAGTAGAGACGGGGTTTCACCATGTTAGCCAGGATGGTCTCGATCTCCTGACCTTGTGATCTGCCCGCCTCGGCCTCCCAAAGTGCTGGGATTACAGGCGTGAGCCACTGCGCCCGGCCAAGTAGGTGATATTTTAACTTAGACTAAATGGTGCCACTGTGGAGATAGAAATATAGGCCAGGTGCAGTGGCTCATGCCTGGAATCCCAGTATTCTGAGTGGCCAAGGCAGGTTGATCACTTGAGGCCAGGAGTTTGAGACCAGCCTGGCCAACATGGTGAAACCCTGTCTCTACTAAAAATACAAAAATTAGCAGGGTGTGGTGGCGGGCGCCTGTAGTCCCAGCTACTTGGAAGGCTGAGGCAGGAGAATCTCTTGAACCCGGGAGGCGGAGGTTGCAGTGAGCTGAGATCATGCCACTGCACTCCAGCTTGGGTAACAGTGCAAGACTCAAAAAAAATAAAAGAAAGAAAGAATTTGGGTGAATGGTGTTCTTTGTCAAGATAGAGAAGACTGGCAAGGAATCAAACTGGAGGGGGCGTTAGCAGGGTCATTCATAAATATTTTTGTTATTAAAAATACTATCAAACTCCAGGACTATTAAGAAGAGTAATCTGAGGCTCTGTCCATGCTCTGAGGACCCAGGGAGCATCTAGGGAATGGAGAAGCCATTCTCTTTTCTGCTTCCCAAAGAAGAACAGGATGTCTATAAGTAGGACGTGAGGACTCCTGTCCCCAAGGTTCCTGTATGATTAGTGTAATTCCTTTTCTTCCCTCCTATTTTCTAGATAAACACGATGAACTTGAAGCTCCCTCAATGAAAACAGGTAAGATAATTAGAAAGGAGATGTTTTTCCCAATGAGATCTGCTTCATGATCACCTTTGCTTAAAGTGCACAAGGAGAACTTTATTTATTTGTTTGTTTGTTTGTTTGTTTGTTTTTTGAGATAGAGTCTCGCTTTGTCACCAAGGCTGGAGTACAGTGGCGCAATCTCAGCTCACTGCAACCTTCGCCTCCCGGATTCAAGCAATTTTCCTGCCTCAGCCTCCCGAATAGCTGGGACTACAGGCACGCACCACCACACCCAGCTAATTTTTGTATTTTTAGTAGAGACGGGGTTTCACCATGTTGGCCAGGCTGGTCTCGAACTCCTGACCTTGTGATCTGCCCGCCTCAGCCTCCCAAAGTGCTGGGATTACAGGCGTGAGCCACCGCACACGGCCTATTTATTTTTTTGAGAAAGAGTCTTGTTCTGTCCCCCAGGGTGGCGTGAAGTGGCACAATCTCAGCTCACTGCAACCTCCACTTCCTGGGTTCTGGGTTCAAGCAATTCTCCTGCCTCGGCCTCCCGAATAGCTGGGATTACAGGCACCCACCACCATATCCAGCTCAGTTTTGTTTTTTGTTTTTTGTTTTTAGTAGAGATGGGGTTTCACCATGTTGGCCAGGCTGGTATCAAACTCCTGACCTCAAGCAATTCCCCCGCCTCGGCCTCTCAAAGTGTTGGGATTACAGGCATGAGCCACCGCACCCGGCCTAGAAGAACTTTAAAGCCCATTTTCTCAATGTTATTGGGGAAACTGCTGTGTTTTGGGGGGTGGAGGATGAGGGGAGATAACCTCTAAAGTGCTTCCGGGTTCTGAAGAAGCTGGTGTGTAAAACAGCACAGAGTGCGTTGTTTGCCATATGACATGATGAAAAACTAGGGTGGGATTTGGGGAATAATGGGGGTGAATTTTTCAGTGACCCATTTGGGGAGTAGGACCAGGACCTACGCAGAGTAGGTACTTCAGGAATATATATAATCAAGAGTTTGTTATAACTCTAAAATTCTCAAAAATAGGTGAATATTGAATTTTTTTTCTAATGTTGCTTATTCATTAACAATTGACTAAGATTCTGTCCTCAGAGTTTCTCATAAAAATTAGAGCTTTTGGGCCAGGCGAGGTGGCTCACATCTGTAATCCCAGCACTTTGGGAGGCCGAGGTGGGCGGATCACCTGAGGTCAGGAGTTCGAAACCAGCCTGGGCAACATGGTGAAACCCTGTCTCTACTAAAAATACAAAAATTTGCTGGGCATTGTGGTGGGCGCCTGTATTCCCAGCTACTCAAGTGACTGAGGCAGGAGAATTGCTTGAACCTGGGAGGCAGAGGTTGCAGTGAGCCGAGATTACACCACTGCCCTCCAGCCTGGGCAACAGAGTGAGACTCTGTCTCCAAAAAAAAAAAAAAAAAAAAAAAATTAAAAAGTTAGAGCTTTTGGCAGCATTCGGCTGAAACAGGAACTCATCCAGACTTTAAGGGCCAAATGCAGAATATAAATTGGCATCTAGATGCTTAATCATCCTTCCTTTCAGCAAGTCATAATCTTCCTGCAACCTACTCCAAAGAGCCAAAGTTGCTGAAGGTTGTTGCTAGCAGTCTGTGCTGGTATAATCGGTTTTCAAAAAGGTATCCTCCAAAGTGTTCTTGCAAGATAACTATTTGAAACGTTTTTATTCCATGATAGTAGGCTTGGGAAATGTCTGCTACCCTAGCACTACGAACACAATTCACGTCAGGAACGTTTTCTGAGAAAGATATGAAATCTAATGGGAGAGAGGAACACAGAAGTATCAGAAACGAGGTGGGAGATCTAGTGAGGTGTGAGGGGGAGGAGGAAGAGAAGCTTTTCTATTTTGAGCTCTTGTATCATTTATTTTCTTTCTTTTTTTATTGATATATAATTCACAGTCCAAAAATTCACCCTTGTAAAGTGTCCAATTCACTGGCATTTTGTATCTTCATGAGGTAGTATAACCATCACCACTACATAATTCCAGAACATTCTCATCACCCTAAAAGAAAATCTTGTACCCATTAAGCAGTCACTCCTCATTTCCCACTTTCCCACCAGGCCCTTCCAACCATTCATATGCTTCTCTGTGTCTATGATTTTGTCTATTCTGGACATTTTGTGTAAGTGGATTCATACACTATGTGATCCTTTGTGACTAGCTCCTTTCTCTTTAGCATAATGTTTTCAAAGTTTGTCTGTACTGTAGCATGCATCAATGTTTCATTTCTTGTCATGGTGAAAAGCATCGTATTGTATGGATAGACCACATTTTGCTTATCCATTCTTTTTTTTGTTTTTGTTTTTGTTTTTTTGAGACGGAGTCTTGCTCTGTCGCCCAGGCTGGAGTGCAGTGGCACAATCTCAGCTCACTGCAACCTCCGCCTCCCAGGTTTAAGTGATTCTTTTGCCTTAACCTCCTGAGTAGCTGGACCTACAGGCGCCCGTCACCATGCCTAGCTAATTTGTGTATTTTTAGTAGAGAGGGGGTTTCACCATGTTGGCTAGGCTGGTCTCGAACTCCTGACCTCAGGTGATCCACACGCCTCAGCTTCCCAAAGTGCTGGGATTACAGACTTGAGCTACTGTGCCTGGCCCCGTTCTTCTTTTGATGGACATTTGTGTTGTCTGCACCTCTTGGCTAAAGCGAGTAATGGTGCTGGAACACTGTGGTAGGAGTATCTGTTTGTCTCCGCGCTGTAAATTATCTTGAGTATGTACCTAGAAGTGGATTTGCTAGGACATATGGTGACTATTATGTTCAACTTTTTGAGGAACTGCCAAATCATTTTCCATTGTGGCTGTATCATGTTATATTCCTTCCAGTAATATATGTGGGTTCCAATATCTCCACATCCTTGTCAACACTTACTTTTCTTTTTTTAAATTATAGCCATCCCAGTGGGTATTATATAATTTCTTAAAATGTACTTTTTGAGTTCAAATTTGTATCATCACAATTCTAAACAGAATAAAATATCTTTGCCGGGCGCAGTGGCTCACGTCTGTAATACCAGGACTTTGGGAAGATGAGGCAGGAGGATCACTTGAGCCCAGGGGTTCAAGACCAGCCTGGACAACTTGGTAAGATCCCATCTCTACAAAAAATACAAAAATTAGCCAGGCGTGGTGGTGTGCACCTGTAGTCCCAGCTACTTGGGAGGCTCAGGCAGAAAGATCGTTTGCGCCCAGGAGGTTGAGGCTTCAGTGAACTGTGATTGCGCCACAGCACTCCAGCCTGGGTGACAGAGCGAGACCCTGTTTCAGTAAATAAATAAAATAAAAGTAAAATATCTGTAAGCACAGGTATGATGTCCCCAGCCTGTATTTATATGCCTAAAACACACTAGAAAACGACTCTATGTTCAATCGCAATGTAGAGAATGAAGATGAATTTTATCACACAAGACTTGACTTTCTTTCTGGTGCCTGTGCCTCCATTTATGCCCCGTGTCAGGCTGTATCTTGTTGCTCACGCTGACTTTAGTAGCGTAGCAAGTTATGATTTATTCTGGCAATTTGCAAATACTGATGCAACATTTGGCCAGGATCTGTGGACATCTCAGGGTGAACCCAGTTCAGCTGATTATGGGGTCATATGAAGATGAGAATTTTGCAATAATGTACTTCTCATTTCTAGTGAATTGCTGTGTGAAAGATACCGTAGGCTGGAAAAGGGGAGAACAGAAAGGACAAGGCAAGGCTGCTGTTTCTCTGCTTCCATCTGGGGAAACTGAGAGTCCAGGAGCAGCTGTTCCTGCCCTGTTTTCATAAGTCCTTGGAGATGCACTGATAGAATTGTTGCTTATGGCCAGGCATGGTGGCTTATGTAATCCCAGCACTTTGGGAGGCCAAAGTGGGCAGAACACTTGAGCTCTGGAGTTTGAGACCAGCCTAACCAACATGGTGAAACCTCATCTCTACTAGAAATATAAAAAATTAGCGGGGTGAGGTGGCGGGTGCTTGTAATCCCAGCTCCTTGGGAGGCTGAGGCAGGAGAATTGCTTGAACCCCAGAGGGGGAGGTTCCAAAGCCGAGATTGTACCACTGCACTCCAGCCTGGGAGACAGAGTGAGACTGTCTCAAAAAAAAAAAAATTGTTGCTTTTGAGGGGTTCTCTGATTCAGCTCCACCAGAAGCAGGCTCTTAGACAGCATTAGTGTGAAAGTGACGTTTTATTTTATTTATTATTTATTTAGTTTTGAGACAGAGTTTCGCTCTTGTTGCCCAGGCTGGAGTGCAATGGCGTGATCTTGGCTCACTGCAACCTCCGCCTACCAGGTTCAAGAGATTCTCCTGCCTCAGCCTCCCAAATAGCTGGGATTACAGGCATGCACCACCACACCCAGCTAATATTCTATTTTTAGTAGAGACGGGGTTTCTCCATGTTGGTCAGGCTGGTCTCGAACTCCTGACCTCAGGTGCTCTGCCTGCCTCGACCTCCCAAAGTGCTGGGATTACAGGTGTGAGCCACCACGCCTGGCTTGAAAATTACATTTTAGGGAGTGGGGAAGAAGGGCTGGGAGGAAAATAGATTAAACAAGTGTGGGATATCTGTGTCCCTCAGATGGTATCTTTGGCTCCATCCTGCAGAAAGCAGTGGAGACAGAGAAGGTCGAAGACCAGAGGCTAGGGAGCTGGGGTCCCCACAGCCGTCAGTGGCAGTTTGTCCCGGGCATGTAAATTCCAAGGCATTTGGAGTTCTCCCAGGCAGTCCCCCAAAGAAGAGATACAAATGTTCACTTTGGAAAGGGAAAGAAGCCACGATCTAGAATGCATAAAAATGGGAAAGGGATCTGGGGAACATGGGTTGAGGAACATTGACAGAATCTATTACAGAGAGAGATGGGTGTAGGTGGAATATTGGGTGAAAAAAAATCATCATTATACCTACAATCCCATTATCCGACACAATGAGTCAGTTTCTAGACTGAGCGCTTTAAAGCCAGGATTTTTCATCATTACCTAACTCTTCAAGTTAGATATTATTAGCTCTCTGCCCCCTCCTTATATTTAACCAAAAAATAACGTATTCCAGAAAGGGAAGGGAACATTTACAAAGTCAGGAGGTAGGAGACCCAGTACTAGAACTCAAATATGTCTTGTTTCAAACTCCCCACTCCTTTTGCTGCTCCCTGATGATCAGCTCAGAAAGAACCTTATTTCAGGGAGGGGGATAGATAGATAATTAGATGTGATAGATAATAGGCAAGTAGGCAGATAAATAGATAACTAGATATGATAGATTAGATAGATACATAGATGATAGGTAGATAAGTAGCTAGATACGATGGACAGATTAGATAGATAGACAGATGATAGGTAAGTAGGTAGATAGATAACTAGATACAACAGGTTAGATAAGTAAGTAGATAGATAACTAGATATGATAGATTAGATAGATAAATAGACGATAGGTAAGTAGGTAGATAGATACAGATAGATTAGCTAGCTAGCTAGATGATAGATAACTAGATATAATAGATAAGATAGATGATTAGATAGACAGATAATTAGATATGATTGATAGATACATTAGATAGATGATAGATTAGATAGATAGATGATAGGTAACTAGGTAGCTAGATAAAGCTAGCTAGATAGATAGATAGATATACAGATACACAGATAGATACATAGATACCTAGATAGGTGATAGAGTTGCAAGATAGAAAAATTAGATAAGTAGGTGGATAGATAGATAGATAACTAGATAGAATAGATTAAATAGATAATAGTAGGTGAATAGACAGATACATACAGATGATAGATGATAGATGATAGATAACTGGTTATGATTGATAGATACATTAGATAGATGATAGATTTGGTAACTAGATGATAGGTAAGTCGGTAGATAGATAAGTGATAATTAGATATGATAGGATGGATAGATTAGACAGACAGCAGGTAAGCAGGTGGATAGACAGATAAAGATAGATACATAGATGCCTAGATAAGTGATAGATTAACAAGATAGAAAAATTAGACAGACAGATAGTTAATTACATATGATAGGATAGATAGATTGGATAGGTGATAGGCAAGTAGGTAGATAGATAAATCATAATTAGATAGGACGGATAGATTGGATAGATGATAGGTAAGTAGGTACAGAGACAGATAAAGATAGATAGGTAGATAGATAATAGATACCTAGACAGATGGTAGATAGATTAGCGAGATAGATAAATTAGATAGGTAATTCTCTATATATAGATATGTAGAAATGCCAATGCAAACATAGCGAACCAAGTAGGGGAAGCGTCTGGATGGGAGACCCTCTGTTGGTGCAGAGGACCAGGCGTGTGAAGCATCTCAGACTTGGCTCTGTAATGTGACCACAGATCATTGCACACCTAGGAAAAATTCTCAGACTCAAAGCACACTAACAAAGATAGCGGGGGTCTTGGTGAAGCCCCTTTCTGGGGCCTCACTTCTATAGTTGCTCAACTTTTTTCCTTAATCACGTTTCTGCTACTTACTCCTTAAAGTCTCACGACTTGTGTTTCTTGAATCTAAAGTGCCAAGAAAAACAAAAAACGGGGGGGAACTGCATGGACTCTGTCGCCTAGCTTTAGTAACAGGTTGCTCTCTCTTCCTCAACGCTGTGAGCTTTGGACACAACCCTTGCTGTAATCCCAGGAGTCACACGGGAATGCATGCCCTTCACCAGTGGGAGGGAAATAATTGTACTACCTTGCAGGGTTGTTGTTAAGACTTTAAAACGCTATGATGTAGACTTGCATGGCAATATTGCTCAAGAACTAGTTTTTTTTGTTTTGTTTTGTTTTTGTTTTTTAATTGGTAGAAATTTTATCTCCTGAGAGGGATGCTTTTTTGAGTTGGAGTCTTGGTCAGTTGAGTGTATGATGCAGTGATGCGATCTCGGCTCACTGCAACCTCCGCCTCCCAGGTTCAAGCAATTCTCTTCTCTCAGCCTCCTGAGTAGCTGGGACTACAGGCGTGCGCCACCATGCCCAGCTTATTTTTTATATTTTCAGTAGAGACAGGGTTTCACCATGTTGGCCAGGCTGGTCTCGAACTCCAGACCTCAAGTGATCCACCTACTTCACTCTCCCAAAGTGCCAGGATTACAGGCGTGAGCCACCGTGCCCGGCCACTGGTCATTCTTTTCTACCCTGCTCTAACCCTGTTCTTATTAGGAATCCTCCCTGAATTCTCCCAGCTGATCCCTTGTTCTGTGTCTTGGGGAATCATGTCTCCTTCAGAGAGCCCCACCCCTCCCCACTCTAAACGCCTTCCATGCCCGTGTCACTGCTGTTCATTACCTGGCATCAACGAGCTCATTGAAGTGTGTTTGAAGTTGGCTGGGCGTGGTGGTCTGTACTCCCAGCTACCCTGGAGGCCGAGTGAGGAGGACCACTTGAGCCCAGGAATTCGAGTATGATCACACCACTGCACTCTAGCCTGGGCAACAATGGGAACCCATTGGCACATCTGGGATTGGCATCCTGAGCTCCCATCTGTGACCTCCCTCCTCTCCCCTCCTCTCCCCTCCATTGCCCTCACCCTCTCCCCATAATCTTCACATCCCGTCCTTTCACATCTCTCTCTCTCCTTTAAAAAAAGAAAAAGGAAATATGTTTGAAGTTAAGAGCTGAGATCATGTCTGTGTTAGCCAGGGTTTTCCAGAAAAACAGAACCAATAGAACATATAGATATAAGCTGGGTGTGGTGGCTCACGCCTGTAATCCCAGCACTTTGGGAGGCCGAGGCAGGCAGATTGCCTGAGGTCAGTAGTTCAAGACCAGCGTGGCCAACATGGCGAAACCCCGTCTCTACTAAAAATACAAAAATTAGCCGGGCGTGATGGTGGGCACCTGTAATCCCAGCTACTCAGGAGGCTAAGGCAGGAGAATTGCTTGAACCCGGGAGGCGGAGCTTGCAGTGAGCCAAGATTGCACTATTGCACTCCAGCCTGGACGATAAGAGTGAGACTTTGTCTCAAAAAAAAAAAAGAGAACATATACATGTATATACATATATGGAGAGAGAGATTGATTTTAATGGATTGGTTCACGTGATTGTGGGGAGCTGGCAAGTCTGAAATCTGCAGGGCAGGCAGGCAGGGGATCCAGGGGAGACTTGATATTGCAGCTTGAGTCTGGAGGCAGAATTCCTTCCACCTTGGGGGACCTCAGTCTTTTCTCTTAAAGTCTTAAAGTCTTCAACTGATTGGATGAGGCCCACCCCTATGACAGTGGGTCATCTGCTTTACTCAAAGTCTATTGGTCGAAATGTCCAGCTCCAAGGAAGTTCCAGCTCCAAGGTGGGAGATCCAGGCTTGGAAGCCAGGCCATCTGTCTGGCTTCTCTTAGCTTTTCTACTCACCCCATCAGTGGATTTCAGACAGTGATTACACAGACAGATGTGGTGGCTCACGCCTGTAATCCCAACTACTCAGGAGGCTGAGTCAGGAGAATTGTTTGAACCAGGGAGGTGGAGGTTGCAGTGAGCCAGGATCACACTCCAGCCTGGGTGACAGAACACGACTCCATCTCAAAAAAAAAAAAGTGTGTATATATATATATATATGTATATATATATATATATATATATATATATATACACATTTATATATACACACACATATATATACATTTATATATATATATACACACACACACACGTATATATATATATGGAGCACCTGGAACAGAGCTGGCTCACAATAAATGATCAATATCATTGCTATGCACCAAACATTCCCTGGGAATTTTTGGAATTTCCTATGCGCCAAGCACTGTTCCAGCCCTTTCTATAGGTACTGACCCACCATCCAATAAAGTAGCTACTGCTGCTATCCTCACTTTACAGATGGGGAAACAGAAGCTTGGAGAAGATTAAGGAAATTCCCCAAAGCAATAGGAAGTTCCAGCTCCGAGGTGGGAGATCCAGGCTTGGAAGCCAGGCCATCTGTCTGGCTTCTCTTAGCTTTTCGGCTCGCCCCTATCAGTGGATTTCAGGAGCCAGGCTGATTCCCTGACCTGCTCTTCCCCCTCCAGACACCAGAACCATCTTTGTCGCCATCTTCAGCTGCATCTCCATCCTTCTCCTCTTCCTCTCAGTCTTCATCATCTACAGATGCAGCCAGCACAGTGAGCTCAGAGAACGCAAAGGGAGAGAGGGGGAGTGAAGGATTTTCTCGGTAGGTAAATTCCTCCTGCATTTTTTGTAGGTTCATCATCTGAGGAATCCACCAAGAGGTAGATGCTTGGCATAGCTCATGCTCCACTTATTCCCATGTCATTCTCAAGGGAACCCATTGGCACATCCGGGATTGGCACCCTGAGCCCCCACCCCAGCCCATTCTGTGACCTTCCTCCTCTCCCTTCTTCTCCCTTCCTCTCCCCTCCATTGCCCTCACCCTCTCCCCGAAATCTTCACATCCCATCCTTTCACGTGTGTCTCTCTCTTTCAGAACCAGCCATTCCAAACTTCCGGAGCAGGAGGCTGCCGGTAAGGGACAGGGGAAGTTTAAGGGAATCACCGGATAGAAAGACTAAGTTCTGACTTCTGCAGCTGAGAACTGATTTTTTTTTTTCCTTTCTCACTCAGAGGCAGATTTATCCAATATGGAAAGGGTATCTCTCTCGGTGAGTCCTCCCGCTTAGGAGTCCCACAAGAGCTCCCTCACCACAATGGGCTGGTCGTGTGTGCCTCCTGGTTAAGCCCATACAGAAATGTATACTGTTTATCACGCATGTGGTCTTAGACAAGTCACGAAACTCCCCTAATGGGAACCAAAATCTCCATTTAAAAGGCTTATGCATGGGCCGGGCGCGGTGGCTCACGCCTGTAATCCCAGCACTTTGGGAGGCCGAGGCGGGCGGATCATGAGGTCAGGAGATCGAGACCATCCTGGTTAACATGGTGAAACCCCATCTCTACTAAAGATACAAAAAATTAGCTGGGCGTGGTAGTGGGCGCCTGTAATCCCAGCTACTCAGGAGGCTGAGCCAGGAGAATGGCTTGAACCCGGGAGGCGGAGGTTGCAGTGAGCCGAGATCACGCCACCGCACTCCAGCCTGGGCGACAGAGCCAGACTCTGTCCCAAAATAAATAAATAAATAAAAATTTAAAAAAAATGAAAAAAGGCTTACGCAGATCCATTGATGTCACAGGCATAAAGGGTTATAAAAACAGAAAAGAAAAAGAAATGCATCTGGTGTGACCGAGGACCTGGGTTTTAAATTAAATTTAATTGTAATTAACTTAAATGTCAATAGCCATGTGTGGCTAGTGGCTGCCATATTGAACACTCAGTTCTAATATTCATCTATTTTCTCCAAAGACGGCAGACCCCCAAGGAGTGACCTATGCTGAGCTAAGCACCAGCGCCCTGTCTGAGGCAGCTTCAGACACCACCCAGGAGCCCCCAGGATCTCATGAATATGCGGCACTGAAAGTGTAGCAAGAAGACAGCCCTGGCCACTAAAGGAGGGGGGATCGTGCTGGCCAAGGTTATCGGAAATCTGGAGATGCAGATACTGTGTTTCCTTGCTCTTCGTCCATATCAATAAAATTAAGTTTCTCGTCTTAAAAAGAAATCTGACTTATTTATGGATTATTCATGCCCAAGAACCCCACCATACTCTTTCTACCCCACATTTCCTCCTAGAACAATTCAAGGAAATAATAAATAATGATTGACCAGCTATCCAGGAAAGAATGTAAGAATTACTGAGCATCTCCAGGAAGCACAACAAGCAAAAAAGAAAACGGCCGGGCTCACGCCTGTCATCCCAGCACTTTGGGAGGCCGAGGTGGGTGGATCATCTGAGGTCAGAGTTCAAGACCAGCCTGACCAACATGGTGAAATCCCATCTCTACTAAAAATAAAAAATTAGTTGGACGTGGTGGCAGGCGCCTGTAATCCCCGCTACTTGGGAGACTGAGGCAGAAGAATCGCTTGAACCCAGGAGGCAGAGATTGCAGTGAGCTGAGATGGCGCCATTGAATTCCAGCCTGGGCAATGGAGTGAGACTCCATCTCAAAAAAAAAAAAAAAAAAAAACAAAAAACGCCCAGAGCTGCAAACTCCTAGACCAGAGGGCAGAAAACAAAAGGACCAGAGAGTAACACGTCCAGCTTTGTGGGCTGTAGGATCTCTGCTGAGACTACCCCACTCTGCTGTTGTACCATGAAAGCAGCCATCGCTGATATGTAAACAAGTAGGTGTGGCGGTGTTAGAATAAAACTTTATTTACAACTTCATGTTCTCACTCATGTAGGAGCTAAAAAAGTAGATCTCATGAAGGTAAAGAGAGAGTCAGTTATCAAAGGCTAGAAGGGGTGGGATAGTTAATGGGCACAAACACAGTTGGATAGAAGGAATAAGTTCAAGTGTTCAATAGCACAGAAGGGTGACTATAGTTAACAGCAATATATTGTATATTTCAAAATAGCTAGAAGAGAAGATTTGAAACATTCCCAACACAAACGATAAATGAGCCAGGTGCAGTGGCTCACTCCTGTAATCCCAACACTTTGAGAGGCCAAGATGGGTGGATCACCTGAGGTCAGGAGTTCAAGACCAGCCTGGCCAACAAGGTGAAACCCCATCTCCACTAAAAATACAAAAATTAGCTGGGTGTGGTGGCGCACACCTGTAATCCCAGCCACTTGGGAGGCTGAGGCAGAAGAATTGCTTGAACTCGGGAGGCAGAGGTTGCAGTGAGCCAAGATCACACCACTGTACTCCAGCCTGGGCGACAGAGAGAGACTCTGTCTCGAAAAGATAAAAAAAAAGATAAATGTTTGAGGTGGTGAATATCCTAAATACCCTAATTTGAGTATTATACATTCTGTGCATGTATCAAACTATCACATGTATGTCATAAATATGCATAAATATTATGTATCTATAGAAAGTTTTTTTTTTTTTGATGGAGTCTTGCTCTGTCGCCCAGGCGCCAGAGTGCAGTGGCGTGATCTCAGCTCGCTGCAACCTCTCCCCGCAGGTTCAAATGATTCTCCTGTCTCAGCCTCCTGAGTAGCTGGGATTACAAGCTTCTGCCATCACACCAGGCTAATTTTTTTGTATTTTTAGTAGAGATGGGGTTTCACCATGTTGGCCAGGCTGGTCTTGAGCTCCTGACCTCAAGTCATCCGCCTGCCTCGGCTTCCCATAGTGCTGGGATTACAGGCGTGAGCCACCGTGCCCAGCCCAGAAAGTTGTTTTAAAAACAAAAAATTTTATTTGCAAAAACAAGCTGTGGGCTCTAGCGTGCCAACCCTTGTGCTAGGCCAGTGCTTTTTAAAGTCTGCTTGGGCCATCACCCCAACCACTTCTGGCCCTGATGAGGGTCCAGGGCATGAGAGGGAAGGAGAGAGTGTCTTAGTCCATCCAGGCTGCTATCAACATACCAAAGACCTGGCAGCTTACAGACAACACATAGTTATTTCTCATGGTTCTGGAGGCTGGAAGTCCAAGACCAAAGCACTGGTAGATTCAGTGTCTGCTGAGGGCTTTTTTCCTGGTTCATAGCTGGCACCTTCTTGCTGTGTCCTTACATAGTGAAAGAGACTGGGCCGGGCGCAGTGGCTCACGCCTGTAATCTCAGGACTTTGGGAGACCGAGTGGGGGGCGGATCACCTGAGATCAGGAGTTCGAAACCAGCCTGACCAACACGGTGAAACCCCATCTCTACTAAAAATATAAAAATTAGCTGGGCGCAGTGGTGGGTGCCTGTCATCCCAGCTACTTGGGAGGCTGAGGCAGGAGAATTGCTTGCACCTGGGAGGCGGAGGTTGAAGTGAGCCGAAATCGTGCCACTGCACTCCAGCCTGAATGACAGAGCCAGACTCCATCTCAAAAAAAAAAAAAAAAAAAAGAGTGAAGGCTTAATAAGCAAAAGAAAGAGAAAAGAGAATAGTTCTCTCTTTTGCACAGAGAAGAGAGGGGTTCCCGAGTGGGACCCCTGGTTTTGTGGTGAAATGCATGGGGCTTTTATAGACAAGCTTGAGGAGGTGCTGTCTGATTTACATAGGGCCTGAGAGATTAGTCGGACCAGGTATGACGTTTGCATAGCCCCCAAAGAAGCTGGCCATCCCACCCTAATCTTTTATTACGTAGGTAGGGTCTCTGCCTGGCCGGGGCCATGTTGTCTGCTTTTTTACTGCACATGTGGGGACAAAGAAAAGGGAAGAGGGAACCTCCATGTTGAATATACCCGGCTCCCAGGCATCCGTTTTCTATTGGCACAGCTGATGCAAGATTTTAGCTTGTTTATCTATGCTTGCAGCTTGATGTTTCAGGCTGCTTTCTGTTAGAAAAGAAATTATTTGGGGGCTGCTCTTTATTAATAGGAAACCTTACTGAGGACTCTCTTACCCTCACTGTCTGCCTCAATAATTTCTTTTTAGCTCCCGTATTACAAATACCATCACCTTGGGGTTAGGTTCCAACAGCTGAATTTTGTCGGGACACAAACATTGAGTTTACAATACCCATGAAGCTGTCTCTGCTTGTATCTTGTCCTAACCAGAAGCTCCCAGGATTGCTGCATCTGAAGGAACAACCTTGATATATGGCTTGTGTCTGTGTCCCCACCCAAATCTCATCTTCAGTTGTAGCTCCCATAATTCCCATGTGTTGTGGGATGGACCCAGTGGGAGATAATTCAATCATGGGGGTGGATTCCTGCAGGGTCCTATGGGGCTTTGCAGGTGTTCTCCCCGTGTGCAGAGATAAGAGATTGTAAGAAATAAAGACACAAGACAAAGAGATAAAGAGAAAACAGCTGGGCCCGGAGGACCACAACCATCAAGACGCGGAGACCGGTAGTGGCCCATAACGGCTGGGCGCGCTGATACTTATTGCATACAAGATAAGGGGGCAGGGTAAGCAGGGTGAATCTTCGAAGTGATTGACAAGGTGAAGCAAGTCGTGTGATCACAGGAGAGGGGGCCCTTCCCTCTTAGGTAGCCGAAGCAGAGAGAGAGGGAGAAGGCAGCATACGTCAGCGTTTTCTTCCATGCACTTATAAGAAAGATCAAAGACTTTAAGACTTTCACTATTTCTTCTACCGCTATCTACTATGAACTTCAAAGAGGAGCCAGGAGTACGGGAGGAGCATGAAAGTGGACAAGGAGTGTGAGCACTGAAGCACAGCACCACAGGGAGGGGTTTAGGCCTCCGGATGACTGCGGGCAGGCCTGGATAATATCCAGCCTTCCACAAGAAGCTGGTGGAGCAGAGTGTTCCCTGACTCCTCCAAGGAAAGGAGACTCCCTTTCACCGTCTGCTAAGTAACGGGTGCCTTCCCAGACACTGGCGTTACCGCTTGACCAAGGACCCCTCAAGCGGCCCTGATGCACGCGTGACAGAGGGCTCACCTCTTGCCTTCTAGGTCACTTCTCACCATGTCCCTTCAGCACCTGACCCTATACCCGCCGGTTATTCCTAGGTTATATTAGTAATGCAGCAAAGAGTAATATTAAAAGCTAATGATTAATAATGTTTATAATAATGATTGATAATTGTCCATGATCATCTCTACATCTAATTTGTATTATGACTATTCTTATTCTATTTTCTTTATTATACTGCAACAGTTTGTGCCTTCAGTCTCTTGCCTCAGCACCTGGCTAATCCTCCACCCACACATTCCCCCATGCCGTTCTCATGGTAGTGAACAAGTCTCAGGAGAGCTGAGGTTTTTATAACGGGTTTCCCCTTTTGCTTGGCTCTCTCATTTCTCTGTCGTCTGCCACCATGTAAGATGTGCCTTTCACCTTCTGCCATGATTGTGAGGCCTCCCCAGCCATGTGGAACTGTAAGTCCGTTATACCTCTTTTTTAAAAAGTAAACTGACTGGGCGCAGTGGCTCACGCCTGTAATCCCAGCACTCTGGGAGGCCGAGGCGGGTGGATCATGAGGTCAGGAGATCGAGACCATCCTGGATAACACAGTGAAACCCCGTCTCTACTAAAAATACAAAAAATTAGCCGGGCGCGGTGGCGGGCGCCTGTAGTCCCAGCTACTCAGGAGGCTGAGGCAGGAGAATGGTGTGACCCCGGGAGGCGGAGCTTGCAGTGAGCGGAGATCGTGCCACTGCACTCCAGCCTGGGTGACAGAGTGCGTCTCAAAAAAATAAATAAATAAAAATAAAAATAAAAATAAATTACTCAGTCTCAGGTATGTCTTTATCAGCAGTGTGAAAACAGACTAACGCAAACTTCTTCGCTCCCCCTCCCCTCACTACACAGTCCCAGGTTGCAGTGTGGAGGCCACATAGGGAGTAGCAAGGTGGGGAGGAGTGTCTCTTTGTTTTCTTGCCACAGAGAGTCATTCTTTTTTAAGCTTGGGAGTTCTTGGTGGCCATCTGTCTCGCCATGTGGAGGAAGCCAGTCTTTATGGAGAAACACAAAGATGACTCAGGGAGCATCCGGGAAGCGGGAGTGAGTAACAGTGCTTTCAGCTTTTGTTTTCTTGGTTCTAATTGCTTCCAAAGCTCAGCATTCCTTCACTCCCTGCAGTTTTCTTGCCCAATCCTTCTTGAACCAAAAAAACCCAAAAAGTCCTCCTTTGATTCTAAGCTATTCTGAGAATGGATTTTGTTTTGATTGAAGGGTCCTGGCAAACATTATTAAAATGGGTGGCCCTAATGGATATCCTTTATGGACATCTATGCTGGTAGTCACACTCACTGAATTACCATAGTGAGGACTCAGCTCTGATTTTTTTTTTTTATCTTGCCCAGATTCTTATCTAAGGGGTCTGGGGTCTCATGCCCTACAAACCATAAATTCTCATCAGATGGGTTTTATTTAGCCCTATATATCGTGACTTACTTTCCAATCTGACTCTGGCATAACATTACCTAACAAAGAAGAAAATAAAAATATTTTACCCCAAAACATGTTTCTTTGCCATATTTTTAAATGGCCCTGCAAAGCTGTCCTTGGTGGGGGGGAATATTTGCATATGTAAAGGATCTCTGTTAACATTGCTAGATCTTTTTCCTCCAGGACCTCCCAATCCTGAGGAGGTTAACTGAGAATCTAGCAACTTTTGAAGGTCTGAGTAGGAAACATTTGTCATCTATTGTCTCTAAGGGCAGCCACTATAAGACTTCAAAAGAACCTTGGTCTCCACAATCTTTTATCTTAACCTGAATATTTCCTCTCTATTAATCCCAGGTCTTTAGACAAACTCAACCAATTGTCAACCAGAAAATGTTTTAATTTACCTAAAGCCTGGAAGGCCCTGCCTCCTTCAAATTGTCCAGCCTTTCTGGACCAAACCAATGTATTTCTCAAATGTGTTTGATTGATGCCTCACGCCTCCCTAAAATGTATAAAACCAAGCTGCCCCCCGACCACCTTGGGTACATGGTCTCAGGACCTCCTTAGGGCTGTGTCAGGGGCCATGGTCATTATCATATTTGGCTCAGAATAAATCTCTTCAAATATTTTATAGAGTTTGACTCTTTTTGTCAACAAGAGTAAGTCTTGATATGTGATACGATCTGAGGGAGGCTCGGATCCACAGCTGGGGTTTGGACAGCTGTAGCATCACCCTGGGAGCTCCCGCCCCAACTCGGAAGGGGCAGGGCTCCCTGCGGCTCCATAGCGTGTATAGCCCGGGCTGGGCCTCCCTGGGGCAGGTGGCGTCATGGCAGCAGCAAGCCGTCTGGAGTGGCTGCTGCCATCACCAAAGGCCCAACCTCTCAGATCACATTGGGTGTCAAGATTTAACATGAGGCCGGGCGCGGTGGCTCACGCCTGTAATCCCAGCACTTTGGGAGGCCGAGGTGGGTGGATCATGAGGTCAGGAGATCGAGACCATCCTGGCTAACATATCTCTACTATAAATACAAAAAATTAGCCAGGTGTGGTGGCGGGTGCCTGTAGTCTCAGCTACTCGGGAGGCTGAGGCAGGAAAATGGCATGAACCTGGGAGGCGGAGCTTGCAGTGAGCCGAGATCCATCATTGCACTCCAGCCTGGGTGACAGAGCAAGACTCTGTCTCAAAAAAAAAAAAAAAAAAAAAGATTTAATATGTGGCCAGGCGCGGTAGCTCACACCTGTAATCCCAACACTTTGGGAGGTCAAAGTGGGAGGATCATGGGGTCAAGAGATCGAGACCATCCTGGCCAATATGGTGAAACCCTGCCTCTACTAAAAATACAAAAATTAGCTGGGAATAGTGGCACACGCCTGTAGTCCCTGCTACTCAGGAGGCTGAGGCAGGAGAATTGCTTGAACCCAGGAGGCAGAGGTTGCAGTGAGCCGAGATCACACCATTGCACTCCAGCCTGGGCGACAGAGGGAAACTCTGTCTCAGAAAAAAAAATAGAAAAGATCTAACATATGAATCTGTGGAAAGCACCGCCATGCAGCACAGGCCCAGGATTTGAAGTAAACTGAAGAGGCTCAACACATGTGGAGGTGGCTTTGTAAATAACTTCAGGAAACTAACTGAGGGTCATGTACCAGCAGGAGCAACTTCATAAAGGGGCCATGGAGAACCTGAGTTCCTTGCTGTTAAAAAGGAATATATAAATCCTGTTAGTTCAGAGAAAGCACAGATCATCAGTCTGATGAGGATAGGGCTTAATTATGGGCTGAATTACATCTCCTCAAAATTCGTGTGCTGAATCCTAACTCCCAGTAACTCAGAATGTGACTGTATTTAGAGACAAGAGGCCGTTGTGAAAAAAGGAAATTTGGACATAAAAAAGACACTAGGGGCTACGTGTGGTGGCTCACGCCTGTAATTTCAGCACTTTGGGAAGCCCAGGTGGGCGGATCGCCTGAGGTCAGGAGTTCAAGACCAGCCTGGCCAACATGGCCAAACCCCATGTCTACTAAAAATACAAAAATTAGCTGGGCGCGGTGGTGCACGCCTGTAATCCCAGCTACTCGATAGGCTGAGGCAGGGGAATCGCTTGAATCCAGGAGGCAGAGGCTGCAGTGAGCTGAGATCGTGTCATTGCACTCCAGCTGGGCAACAGAGTAAGACTCCAACTCAAAAAAAAAAAAAAGAAAAGGACACCAGGATATGTACATCCAGAGGAAAGACCACGTGGAGACACAGCAAGAAGGCGGCCATCTGCATACAAAGCAGAGAGACCCCGGGAGAAACTGACCCTACTGGCACCTCCATCTTGGATTTCCAGCCTGCAGAACGGTGAGAAAATCCATTTCTGTCCCATAAGCCCCCCAGTGGGGGGCATTTTGTTATGGCTTCCCTAGCACACAACTGTAGGTGGTAAACATATTTTAAACATTATAGTGATCATTTGTAAAAAAAAAAAAAAAAAAAAATTCAAAGAAATATATTTTCTACAGCTTCTCTTTATGATACCCTATGTTCCAAAGGCTACCTATTGTATTTTCTAGAAGACTATAAGAATTTTTCACACATGCTGGGGCCTGTCAGAGGGTGGAGGGTGGTAGCAGAGAGAGGATCAGGAAAAATAACTAGTGGGTACTAGGCTTAATAACTGGGTGATAAAATAATCTGATAATCAGGAAGTAGTAAATACACTAGAAAAAAAATAATCTGTACAACAAACCCCCATGACACACGTTTACCCGTGTAACAAACCTGCACATCCTGCCCATGTACCCCTGAACTTAAATGTCAAAAAAAAAAAAAGAATTTTTCTAGTATCATGCCAGGCTCTGTGGTTCATGCCTGTAATCCCAGCACTTTGGGAGGCTGAGGCAAGTTGATTGCTTGAGCATAGGAGTTCGAGACCAGCCTGGGGAAAATGGTAAAACCCTGTCTATACTAAAAATACAAAAATTAGCTGAGCATGGTGGTGCATGCTTGTAGTCCGGGCTACTCTAGAGGCTGAGGCAGGAGGATCGCTGGAGCCCAGGAGGTGGAGGCTGCAGTGAGCCATCATTGCACCACTGCACTCCAGCCTGGGTGACAGAGTGAGACCCTGTCTCAAAAAAAAAAAAATCAATTTTTCTAGTGCTATACATTTAATTTTTTTTTCTGTTATGAACATTAGGTTTCTTTGCCTTATTGTTTCAAATTCTTTGGAAGCATTGTTCAATCAATCACATGAGCACAATAGTTGGTACAAAACAGTCATTATTTTGAAAGACCATCACCTGATATGAACAGTTCATTCATAAACTTGAGCCTTTTTTTGTTTTTGTTTTTGTTTTTGAGACAGAATCTTGCTCTGTTGCCCAGGCTGGCGTTCAGTGGCACGATCTCTGGTCACTGCAACCTCCACCTCCCAGGCTCAAGTGATTCTCCTGCCTCAGCCTCCCAAGTAGCTGGGATTACAGGTGCCTGCCACCACGTCCAGCTAATTATTTATTTATTTAATTTATTTTTTGAGACGGAGTTTCACTCTTGTCACCCAGGCTGGAGTGCAGTGGCACGATCTTGGCTCACTGAAACCTCCACCTCCTGGGTTCAAGCAATTCTCCTGCCTTAGCCTCCTGAGTAGCTGGGATTACAGGCGCCCACCACCATGCCGGGCTAATTTTTGTATTTTTCGTAGAGACGGGGTTTCACCATGTTAGCCAGGCTGGTCTCAATCTCCCAGCCTCAGGTGATCTGCCTGCCTCAGCTTCCCAAAGCACTGGGATTACAGGTGTGAGCCACCGTGCCTGGCTGAGTTTGTTTTGTTTTAAAGACCTCAGGGATGTACCTCTAATTGACACTACATCACATTAATCAATAGCTGCACTTTTTGCAAACTGTGGCTATGACAGTCCTGAACAAGAAGGGTTTCCTGCTTAAGCTGCAGTAACTTTTCTGACTATGGATCATTGTTCCTTCTGTGGCAGATTTTTACACCTCCTCTAATGCATTTGGGATGACTGTCTCCAAGTAACCTGCAGCTTTCCTCACTGTCTCTCCTGCTAAGAACTGTTGCCCTTTTCTGCTGTTTTTAGAACCTTCTGTTTTCATATCCACCAGTTCCACGGCCAGATCTATAACGACCACCAGAGGGACTGCCTGAGCTTCTTCCACCAAAACTGCCCCGCATAAACTTGAGCTTTTAAGCGGCATTATATATAAGCCCTATACGAGTTTAACTTGATCTTGTTAAGGTAAACAATCTGTTCAGTCTCACTTTCTTTTTGCATTGATAATTTTAATAATGTCTGATCATTTACTTTCTAAAATCACAAATGCAGTAGCAAGTTTTGGCCAGTTTCATTTTCTTAACTTTTCTCCTCCACATGGGACATGCTACGGGAAGAGGCTTAGAATCGTGGAAAGAGGAGAGTCATCTGCTTTCAGTGCTGGATACAAGGGCAGGTTGTGTGACCTTGGGAACACGTGTTAAAATCTCCAGAACTGCATGTGCCTTTCCTCATCGTGAAGACACAGATCTCGAATAGGGTTGTTGTAGATAGTATGACCAACTGTTACCGTTTTACCAGGATTGGTGTGTGCAGGGGCGTGTGTGTGTGTCTTAGGATGTGGGACTTTCGGTTTTAAAATAGAAATGAGGAATTTCCCAGGACACAGAAATTTCAGGGCTAAACCAGAGAAAATCCTGGGCGAACCGGAACAATTTGGTTGCCCTAGTTGTAAGCACGTGAGTTGCAAAGATGTAGGTGTGATTATTCCCTTGATTCAGTAAACAATTTTTTTCTTTTTTCCCATTGCCCTATCAACCCAACTCCTAGGTCTAATTCTTTACCTGTGCCCTTGGGTGACATGTAAAGCAAGTCTCATAACTTTTTTTTTTTTTGAGACAGTCTTGCTCTGTTGCCCAGCCTGGAGTGCTATGGTGCAGTCATGGTTCACTGCAACCTCTGCCTCCCAGGTTCAAGTGATTCTCCTGCCTCAGCCTCCCGAGCAGCTGGGATTACAAGCATGTGCTACCACGCCCAGCTAATTTTTGTATTTTTAGTAGAGACAGGGTTTCGCCATGTTGGCCAGGCTGGTCTCGAACTCCTGACCTTAAGTGATCCGCCCACCTTGGCCTCCCAAAGTGCTAGGATTACAGGTGTGAGCCACTGCGCCCGGCCTTCTCATAATTTTTATAGTCATCTTAGGTCATAAAGACTTCCAGCTGCTTCTTAAAAAAGTCACATACAAGAAAAAAATACAGTGTCAGCTCAGTGATTAAAATCCTTTCGGCAGGTTGCCTGCAACGTGGAGGAAGCGTGGTCAGCTTTTCCTTTATCTCCCCACGTGGAGCTTCTCCTGCTTCCCCCACTCTCTTGCAAGGCTGCAGACCTCTCACCTGCAGTTCCCTTGATGCCTGTAAATGCAGCTCCTCCACTTGGTCACATTACTGAATCCTTGGGGATCCGTCAGTACATTTCCAGCTTCTCTCTGCAGACTTCACCTCCTACCTCCAGGTGGCGCTCCTGCAAAGGATAAAAGCTCCTGGTACATTCATTCTCATATTCATTCTCTCTCCCCCCTCTCCCCCCCTCCCCCATTTCTCCCCTCTCCCCTCTCTCCCCTCCCACCCTCTCTCTCTCCTCCCACCCTCTCTCTCCAGTGAGGAAAGACCCTGTGTTAGCCCGTTCTCACACTGCTATAAATAGCCGAGGCCGTGTGTGGTGGCTCACACCTGTAATCTTAGCACTTTGGGAGGCTGAGGTGGGCGGATCACTTGAGGTTAGGAGTTCGAGACTAGCCTGGTCAACATGGTGAACGCCACCTCTACTAAAAATACAAAATTAGCCGGCTATTGGCGCATGCCTGTTGTCCCAGTTACTCGGTAGGCTGAGGCAGGAGAATCGCTTGAACCCAGGAGGCGGAGGTTGCAGTGAGCTGAGATTGCACCACTGCACACCAGCCTGGATGACAGGGGGGCTCAGTCTCAAAAAAAAAAGAAAGAGATTTAATTGACTTACAATTCCACATGGCTAGGGTGGCCTCAGGAAACTACAGTCATGGCAGAAGGGGAAGGAGAAGCAAATATCTTCTTCACAAGGCAACAAGAGAGAGAGAAGAGCAAGCAAAGGAGGAACTTGCCAAACGCTTATAAAACCATCAGATCTCCTGAGAACTCACTTTATCATGAGAACAACAAGGTAGAAGCCACCTCCATGATTCAATCACCTCCCACCAGGTTCCTCCCCCAACACCTGGGGATTACAATTCAAGATGAGATTTGGGTGGGGACATAAAGCCAAACCATATCAGACCCCATTCCTCTCTGGACCCGCCCCTCACCCCATATAACTACTCTGAATTGTCCAGTTGAAGAGACTGTCATCCTCCATCACACATCTACGGTGGACAGAGGATGGGACTCACAGCACACCAACAGCTTACGTAAACAAACACACAGAAACAAAACAAAACAAAAACTCTTCTAATCTCTGGAGACTATTATTCTAAGTGAAGTAACTCAGGAATGGAAAACCAAACATCATATGTTCTCACTGATATGTGGGAGCTAAACTATGAGGATGCAAAGGCATAAGAATGATACAATGGACTTTGGGGACTTGGGGGGAAAGGTGAGAGGGGGGCGAGGGATAAAAGACTATAAATGGGGTGCAGTGTATACTGCTTGGGTGATGGCTACACCACAATCTCACAAAGCACCACTAAAGAACTTACTCATGCAACCAAACACCACCTGTATCCCAATAGGAAAAAAAATACCTTCTAATCTCAACACTCCTTTCTTTTTTTTTTCTTTTTTTAATTTTTATTTATTTATTTATTTTTATTTTATTTTATTATTATTATACTTTAAGTTTTAGGGTACATGTGCACAATGTGCAGGTTAGTTACATATGTATACATGTGCCATGCTGGTGTGCTGCACCCACTAACTCGTCATTTAGCATTAGGTATATCTCCTAATGCTATCCCTCCCCCTTCCCCCCAACACTCCTTTCTTACCTTCAGGTGGACAAGAGGCCAAGGGTGTGGGGAAATTAGGTTTTCAGCATTTTCTCCTGAAGTCATGCAGAAATGGCCTTACTGTGAGATCTGACCTCGCTGGCATCTATAATCTTTGGGCCTGAGCAGAAACTGAGATTGCAATGAATCTACTTTGACATTCTGTTATATACATGTGCAAAAACCTTGGGAATACTGGGTATGAGCAGTTTGGAAGGAGAATGGATGGTAGGAATTCATTTTCATAAAAAAAAAAAAAGCTCATGAATAAGTGCACAAGAAAATGTAAGATCAGCCGGGCACAGTGGCTCACACCCGTAATCCCAGCACTTTGGGAGGCCGAGGCAGGCAGATCACCGGAGGTCAGGAATTGGAGACCAACCTGACCAACACAGAGAAACCCTGTCTCTACTAAAAATACAAAATTAGCCGGGCGTGGTGGTGCATGCCTGTAATCTCAGCTAATGGGGAGGCTGAGGCAGGAGAATCACTTGAATCCGGGAGGTGGAGGTTGTGTTGAGCTGAGATCGCACCACTGTACTCCAGCCTGGGCATCTCTAAAATATAAAAATTAGCCAGGCTTGGTGGCGGGCGCCTGTAATCCCAGCTGCTCAGGAGGCTGAGGCAGGAGAATCGCTTGAATCTGCGGGGTGGAGGTTGCTGTGAGCCAAGATGGTGCCACTTCATTGCAGCCTGGGCGAAAGAGTGAGACTCTGTCTCAAAAAAAAAAAAAAAAAAAAAGAGAACCCAGACCTGGAGTGGTGTCTCACGCCTGTAATCCCAGTATGGTGTCTCACTGCAGCCTTGACCTCCTAAGCTCAAGTGATCCTCCCGCCTCAGCTTCCTGAGAAGCTGGACGCACAGGCAAATGCTAATTTTTAAAAACTTTTTTGTAGAGATGGGATTTTGCCATGTTGCCCAGGCTGGTCTTGAACACCTGGGCTCAAGAGATCCTTCTGCCTCAGACTCCCAAAGTGCTGGGATTATAGGCGTGAGCTGCCACACCTGGCCTCCAGAACTATTTTAAAATAAAAAGTTAAGCCAGGTGAGGTGGCTCGCTCCTGTAATGCCAGCACTTTGGGAGGCTGAGGTGGGCAGATCACTTGAGGTCAGGAGTTTGAGACCAGCCTGGCCAACATGGTGAAGCCCTGTCTCTACGGAAAATACAAAAATTAGCTGGGCATAGTAGCAGGTGCCTGTAGCCCCAGCTACTCGGGAGGCTGAGGCAGGAGAATTGCTTGAACCCAGGAGGTGGAGGTTGCAGTGAGCCGAGATCGCGCCACTGCACTCCAGCCTGGGCGACAAGAGCAAGACTCTGTCTCAAATAAATAAATAAAAAGTTAATTTTTTGGAAAGGATGAGATAAAAAGCAGACGAAGGGCATAGAAAGGCCCTTCCAACGCGGCCCTCTCCAACATGAGGAAGCCTCCCACGAGATTTCCACTCACATCTCAAGAAACACAATTGCATCCAGCCCCTTCCTTAAATAACCACTAGCAGTGGGCGTGAGTTTACCTAACTGGGCTAAAGGTGTTTAAACTTCAGTGTGCATCAGAATCACCTGGAGGACTTGTCAAACCATAGGTTGGAGAGGAGGAGAAAGGAAAAGCTCACCTTCAGAGTTTCTGACTGATTCAGTAGGTCTGGGGTGGGGCTCAAGAATTTGCCTTTCTGACGAGCTCCCAGGTGATGCTGACGCTGCTGGTTCAGGGACCACACTTTCACAACCAGCACGTCACTAAGCCTTAGACTAATCAAGATTCATGCCTGAAACTAGAAAAGGGCCAAGTCTCCAAGGAACAAGGGTGGCCAACTGACACCTGAACAAAATCAGGGTTCTCGGCTGGGTGCGGTGGCTCAGGCCTGTAATCCCAGCACTTTGGGAGGCTGAGGTGGGCGAATCACGAGGTCAGGAGTTTGAGACCAGCCTGACCAACATGGTGAAACCCCGTCTCTACTAAAAATTCAAAAATTAGCTGGGTGTGGTGGCGAGCACCTGTAATCCAGCTACTGGGGAGGCTGAGGCAGGAGAATCACTTGAATCTGGGAGGTGGAGTTTGCAGTGAGCTGAGATTGCACCACTGCACTCTAGCCTGGGCGACAGAGCAAGACTGCATCTCAAGAAACAAAAACAAAAACAAAATCAGGATTCTCTTAGCAGAGAAGATTTTGGATTTTGAGAAACACCTGTCCCTTATATCGTACGATGACTTTTCTCTTATTTTTTCTGATCTTAATATAATTATATCAGCTTCCTGGAGAAGTTCCTCCACCACATTTTCTTACTTGTTCATTTTTCTTCAGCTGTATCAATTCTGCCTTTTTTTTTTTTTTTTTTAAAGAGACACGGTCTCACCATGTTGCCCAGACTGGTCTCGAACTCCTGGTCTCAAGTGATCATCCCACCTCAGCCTCTCAAAGTGCTGGGATTACAGGCGTGAGCCACGGCACCCACCCTACTGCCTATTCTGTTAGAGGATAATGTTATATATTTTTTACCATCATGTATTTTTATACTTTTTATTTCCATAAGCCTCTTGCTTTATGGAAAATTGTTCTTGTTTCATATTGCTAATATGTGTCCTTTTTTAGTATGTTTCTTTTTTTTTCTTTTTATTTTTTGAGACAGGGTCTTGCACTGTCACACAGACTGGAGTGCAGTGGCACAATCATAGCTCACTGCAGCCTTGACCTCCCAGGCTCAAGCAATCCTCCTGCCTCAGCCTCCCAAGTAGCTGGGGCCACAGGTGTGCACCACCACACTGGGCTAATTTTTTTTTTTTTTTTTTTGTAGAGATGGGAATCTCACTATGTTGCCCAGGCTGGCTTTGTTAAGAAGTACATTTCTTATGCTAATTATAAATTCTTGATCTATCTGACACCTCCTCCCCCGAAAAAAACACTCTCATTGCTTCACCACACCAAGCAACTGACA